>NC_000006.12:155676850-155828365 GCF_000001405.40 Homo sapiens | reverse complement strand
CTGCATGTAGTCAGCATACAGTAAATAAAGTTTCCTTCTCCCTAGGTAAGAAGGACTGCTTCATAAATTATAAAGCTTTATGTGAATGCGAGAGATTGTTATTAATATTGTGCTGCTTCCAGATTCCAACTTTTACAAAAGAGTTTTAGAAAGAGAAAAGGAATTTAGTCATTGTCTCACAATACCTGGCATAAATAAGTACACAATAAAAGTCAACCTTCTCATCACTTTCCAAACTTTTCATCATTTATTAGCACAGAAATGGCATGTCAAAGAATTTTTCTACCTCAAAGCAATTTTTTCTCTTTGTTTTGTCTTTTTTATCTAACATCAAAAGTATCCTTTTGAAAATTCATAAACATGGTAGAAAAGAAATACCAAATCCATAGCTCTTCTCTCTTTTTCTTGGACAAAAATGAAGATTGTATGCATTTGGAAAGCAAAGGAAAGGATTGGAAAGGTGTTCTGATTCATCCAGTGCAGTCTTTATCCCTGTGTATGCATGTCCCAAAGTGGACATACATCTCTATTTATTTTTTTTGCAAATACTGGCCATGTTTTCATTTTCCATCCTTATAGGAATTAGACAGGACAAGGTACACAGTGATTATTACTCTGTACAAGTTAGGGTAGGGTTTCTGTTCCTTCTAAACATTCTCGGCTCTATCATCACTATTCAAATCACAAATCCAGGATTTACAATCCATTCTAATCCTCCACTGAATCATTTTAAATTAGTTATTTGCACATTCAATTACAGAAACCAGGAAGTTAGCTGGGTAGAGTTCCAGTTTATATCTCTTTTTATTTTATGTATTGTTGAATCTCATTATTATCAGACACATTCTTCAAAACAGATTAATATATTTTTTTGGCTTGTGCAATGGCTTTTTATTAGTAGTGATAGTATTTTGGAAGATAACACATGTCTTTCTTTACATCATATCTACCCTTTCCGCATAATTCCCTTGTGACTTTGGCCACCTGTTTTTGATACTGAATTGGGTCTCATTTTCATCATATACAATTTCAGATTTTAAAATTGACTTAAACTTAGAAAGTTAGACCAGTCTTTTTGTTAAATATGACTCAGCTAATTTATAAATGTGGTAAAAGAAGAGACTTTGTTATGTAAAGCATATAAATACTTTACTTTATAAATAAGACCATACACTTTCAAGTAGAAAAAAATAGGAAATTCAGCACCAAGGTGCACTTTTCATGTGCAAGTCACTTTGCGCTGCGTGATTTTAGTAATTCAGCGTGTAATGTCACAACCCTTACCACTGTGAAATTTCCACAAATCCCAAGCATGACAAAGGTCGTAATAGTTTAGGACCATATGGGACTAAGCATTATAAGAAATCAAAATGTGTTATCACATATTTGAACATATCACATATTAGAACATCAATGGGATATGCCAGCTATACGTCAGCTATGGAACTAAGGAGTCTAATTTATCACACTGAAATTCTATTCTATTTGAAGATACCTAGCGAAACTGTAGAGATGTTTAAAGTGGATTTTCCCTATGAAAGAGTCTTCATAAATCTCACAGATTTTGCAATATTTAAAACATGAACTAGAAAACCCATGAAAATATATAAAGCCTTTAGGTATAATAACCATATCCCTTGACTGATGTATTTTAGTACATGGTATCACAAACTTTCCACAAAATAAAACATGAGATGTAATAAATGTTTTTATTGTATCTGAGATGTGTCCTTTTTTTCATTTTTTATCAATAAATATATGAGCCATGAAGCATGATATTAAAACAAAAACCCATGAACCTACCACCTAACCTAGAAATATAATAGAACCAATGCCAGAATATTATTCAACTTGTTTCTGAATTTAATAAAAAAATACTGTATGTGTTCTCAGTATCTTCTTCCACTCAACATTATGCTTCTAAAATGTATTGAGGTCAATTAATACATCTGTAGATCACTAATATTTACACATGTACAGTATTTTATTAAGTGACTACATCACAATCTATCCATTCTTTCATTAATGGGCATTTAGTTGTTTCTAGATTTTTTTTTTCTTATCACATGCTGCTATTAACAGTGTCATAATTTCTTCTAGGGGGTAGGCGTGCAAGAATTGCTCTAGGGTATTTATCCAGGAGGGGATCTGCTAGAACATAAAGTATTTTAGCTTGGATTCCACAAAATCCAGGTCCTGAGACAAATAATTCCATGCATAGGAGTTTTTTTTTGGAAGATTATTACAGGAAGCAAAGTGAGGGAGTGGGGAAACACAGCAAGGAAGGATGAAATGCCAATAAATGGTATATTCATGTGTGGTTACTGCTGTGGGCAGCTGGAACCAATTCCACTGGAAACATTCAAGAGACTGTTAAACCTACCTCAGAATTATCCCTCCAAGGAGAAAGAAAGCTGGGCTATTTATCCACCACTTCTTACCCCTCAGTGTGCAGTGTGGCTCTGGAGGTATTTCATGCTCTGGCACTGTCAGGCCAAGCAAATCCTGGCAGATGCTTGAGAAGCTATCAGCGTGTATGGAGCCTGTTCATCTCACCTGCAGTCAGCAATAGGGTTGGCCAAGAGGATGGAGGTAGGGCCCTGACGTCTCTACTACGTGAAGCTGTTACATGTTTAAAGTTGCAAGACAATGATAAATTGTCTTCTTAAGTGATTGGCTTTGTTTAAATTTTCATCAATAGAGAATAAAAGGTCCCTTTGCCCAGCATCGTCATTAAATTGTGAAAGTTTTAAACTTTTGCCAATCTATTACATGGTGTTTTAAAACATTTATTGTATTTCTCCAATTGCTAATAAGACAGAAAGCATGTTTATATAAACTTGTTAAACATTTGCATTTTCCCTCCTCCTTAGGTCCATCTATTTTAAACAATTATTTTATATAATTTTTTCAATTTTTAGAATTTATATATTTTGGACACTAAATTTGACAGATATTTGTGTGTCAAAAAGTTCTTAATTTTAACAAAGTTGAATTTATCAATTTGTTATGGATACTGCTTTTCAAATTAAGAAATCTCTACCATAGGAATATAAAGATATGTTTCTATACTATACTTACAACTTTGAATATTTTGCTCTTCACATATAGATATATAATTTTTCTGGAATTTAGCTTCATGCATGTTGCAAAGAAGAATCCAATTTTGTTTGTTTACTTAGGAATAAGCACCATTTATGAGACGATCCATCTTTTTTTAGCCACTTATCTCCAATGCCACTTCTGTATTATGTTGTCACCTTATACCCATATATGTGACTCTGTTTTTCCTACATAAATACCTCATTGCCTTATATATCACTGCCTTATATATCGTTTTGATATCTGCTAAGCCAAATTCCCTTACCTTTTTCTTCCCAAGAGTATTTTTTACTATTATTGGTCCTTTTGCCCTTCCCAATGTATGTTAGAATCTGCTTTTGAAGCATGAAAACCTTTGTTGGGGCTTTCACTGCAATTACATTGAATCTAGATATCAATTGAGGGCAACGGACACATTAACAAAACCGAGTCCCGCTGTGTGAACAAAGGTGATCTCTCTCTTTATGTTTTATTGACTGCCTTTAAATAAAGTTTTATATATGCTACACTTTTTCTTCTAGGTAAACTATATCAGCTGAAGAAGATTCCTTTCTATCCTACTTTGATAGAAGTCTTTTATCATGAATGGATGTGAAATTGTACCTAATGTTCTTAATGCATCTAAAGCAATAATCATATGGTTTTTCTCTTTTATTCATTAATGTGGCGAATTACATTAATCCATTTTCCAATGTGAATCAACTGTTAAGCTCTTGTGATGAACATAACTTGTTCATGATATTCTGCTTTTCTGGGCAATAAGTTTATACAGTGAATTAAACAGTCAATGTCTGTACTTATAAAGTTACATTCCAGTGTGGGGTAGGGAGAGAAAATGATAAACAGATAAATAGCTTAATGTATTACATAATATCAGGCACTGGTATTCAGGGAAAGACCTATATTTTAACCATCCCCCTTGCCACAAAACCAAAAAGATATCTGCTAATCAATCAACTGAAATTGAGAAAACATATCTTCCACATGTATCTGAATACGGCATTGTGCAAGAAATCATTGCATATGACATGCTGACCCCAGGGACCAACACGAATGTGGATAGGCCTAAAAAACCGAGAAACAACACTGCAAAAGTACATCAGTTAAAGAAATAAGAGTAGAAAGGGTTGCACATGTATGTACTATAAAATGGTAGCCAAACTGAATTAGAATTCCTTAAGTTGCTTTCTGGCTTCATGCTTCTCAAAGGTATTCTTTGGACATTTTTCTTTATAGTTTACAGTATGGGTATAATCATTATTAAAGGGAATGTGTTGCATTAATTTCCTGATATCACTATAAAGTAAAAAAACCTAGAGGGTGGTGATGCAGTCTTTTTTAGAGTACCCAGTAACAGGACACCAGTACCCATCCATATTTATAAACAAGTTAAGTTTATCCTCCTAACATTAGCTATGAAATAAGTACGCCCCAGGCTCCTCTGGCTGTGGTAGATATCCTTCTGTGCTGTGGCCTGGGATTCTGGGACTGCATACAGAGTGAAAGAAAGAGCAGAAGCCCACAGTAGAATACAGACAAGCAGTCCCACTGAAGATCACATAACACTTGCATGGCAGAAAGAAGAGAGAATTTCCAGCCAGCAGTTGTAAAAGTGGGAGGAAATAAGGAACAACTACAGTGTATCTAGCTGGTAAATGAATACAAGAATTATGGGGACCAAAAATTAATTCCATTCACACCTGCCTGTCTCATCAAAAGGAAGTGAATTGCAGAGTAACTCAAAGGAGGGGCTCCTGCCTCAGAAAGCATTAAAATGACTCCAAAGACCTACACAGAGGCTCTGTGAAAGGTGTTGCTGAAGGCTGGTTTGGAGGTATGTTGAAACTTCTAAGACAGAGAGGTTGCTCTGGGAGAAGGGACAAAGGTGCAGCATTGAGTGCCCTATTGTATTAGTCAGGGTTCTCTGGTGAAACAGAACCAAGATATAGATAGATAGATAGATAGGTTAGATAGATAGATAGATAGATAGATAGATAGATAGATAGATAGATAGATGATAGGATAAGTGATACATAGGTAGATAGAAATGCAGATAGATGAGATAGATATAGATAGATAGATACATACATACATACATATGATAGGTGATAGGTAGATAGCAGAAAGATAGATAAATGATAAAGAGAGAGATGATAGATGATAGATATGGATAGATAGATGATAGATGATAGATAGGATAAGTGATACATAGCTAGATAGAAATGCAGATAGATGAGATAGATATAGATATAGATACACACATACATATGATAGGTGATAGGTAGATAGAAGAAAGATAAATGATAGAGAGATAGATGATAGATATAGATAGATAGATAATAGAAATGATAGATAAGTTTATTATGGGAATTTACTCATGCAATTATGGAGGCCAAGAAGTCATCATATGCTGCCTTCGAGACAGAGAACCAGGAAAGCTGACAGTGTAATTCAGCCTGAGAACCAGGAGCTCCCATGCTCAAGGGCAGGAGAAGATGAATGTCTCAGTTTAAACAGAGAGAAGGAAACAATTCACCCTTCCTCTGCCTTTTTGTTGTATTAGGGCCCTCAATGGATTGGACTGGATGGTGCCCAACCACAGTGATGAGAGTGGATCTTCTTTACTGTCTACTGATTCAAATGCTAATCTTTTCTGGAAACAACCTTACAGACACCCCCCAGAAATTGTGTTTTACCAGCTATCTGGGCACCCCTTAGCCCAGTAAAGTGGACACATAAAGTTGACCATAAACTCTATCACTAGCCCATGAGCCTGAGCTTCAAGTGCCTCTCAGAGAGACACTATGATTTGGACAACTGTGGATACTTCTGGTGGCTGGGGATTAGAAGAAACACATTTGTTGGGGACACTTGGAGTCCACTGAGGACTGGGGCAAGAAGGGTGGCAATGTAGCCAGAAGGAGAATCAGGGGCTGGGACAGACAGGAGGCCAGAAAGGGATCTGGACGGAGTAGAGAAGCAGGCAGAGATGTAGTCTGAAAATGTTGTTGCCCATGAAAATCCTGACATTTCATCAGCCACTGTGCCATATTATTACATACTTTACTTTGAAGTCAGACTTACCTGAGTTTAAATTTTGCCTTTGCTTGTACTAGTTGTGTGGCCTTAGGCACATTATTGAACCTTTATTAGCCTTGGTTTTCTGAATGTTACAATCCTAACTTTTTGGGTTGTTTTGGGAATATGACGTGAAGCAATTCCCATCGAGTATTTACCATAATGCTTAGCCAAAAAATAATCATTCAAAAATTGTTTAATAAATGGCAGCTCATGTTTATCTCAGATGCTGGAAGAAGGAAGAGAAGTATTCTTCACAGGTGCATAGCCAGATGAATAGGAGTAAATGAAAGGGGTAAGAGATGGCACGGTGCCTTGGGAAGGGGTTTTTGAGTCTGGATTCCAAGGGTAAGCAATGTGGAACATCAAGCCAAACAAAGCATTCATCTACACACTTTACCTTCCCCTAGCCCTTGATTTCTTAGCAGCAGATGAGACCTAAGAGAATAAGGTACATTTATACTTGGAAAAATGGTCAAAGGTCACCTAGTCCAACTTCTAACTCATTGGTGACATCCACATGCAATGCTTAGGTGTCCTTCATGAAAGGGAGTTTATAAACTTACTATAGTCACCTCCTATTGATGCCCATCTTTAATGATTAGAAAGTTCTTCCTTAGCTGAGCTGAATTCACTTTCTTGTGACTTAGCTCAGCCACCCTGGGGCAACACAAAACAAATATCTTTCCGCTTCTACACATACGCCCCTATCGTACTAGTCTCTTCTTCCCTAGTGTCAGGAATCGTGAGTAATTGGCTTACAATACAAAGGAAAAAAGAAAACCTTGGGGGATACTCTTATTACTAGAACTGTTTAAATGGATTTATAGGGGACGTTTAATGAGAGCAGAAATTGAAATTGCACTTGACTGCATTTCAGGGCAGCAGATTTTTATTTAGCAGCCAGAAGGGGTGCAAGATATGTTAAAGAATAACGAAAAAATGTAAACCTGCCCGTAGGGAGCTTAAAATCTGATTAACTTAGCCACGCTAATGATAGAGCAAGAAAAGCTGGCTGAGCAAAGAACACTGTTCAGATGCCACCGGGAAAAATATAACAGACTATCGAAAAGTCTACATTTGTTACAGCTAAAAGGTAAATGTTTAAATTAAAACAATTATTTCATTATAAATGCAATGTATGGCCATTGAAGAAAAAAATGATAAAATTAGCAAAAAGGAAAAAAACGTACAGAAGTATATAACTCCACTACCCAGATATAACCAGATATAATTTGTCATCTGTATGCTATGGAAATCTTTTATTTAGCTGTAGATGAATTTCTATATGGCATTATACTATACATGCTATCTCATAAACTGCCTTTTTAGGACATTCATCGTGAGTATTTTTAAAAATAAATATTCATGTGTAATGTCTTTAATAACTAGTTAGTATTTCATTCAAAGACTATATCATCCTTTGTTACCAAATTTGCCCCTAGTTGGACCTTTTGGTTGTTTCCAAATTTCACTACTATGAACAGAATTCTTATAGCTAAATCTTTGCATATTCTTAATTCTTTCCTTAAAATACCTTTCCGGGTGTGGAATTTCTGGGTCAAAGTTTGTGCATATTTCTAAGCCTTTTGATAAGTAATGTCACACTGAATTCCAGGAAGATTGTTCTATAACAGGGTAAAAGTGATAATTTCTCCATCATTTACTGATGATGTGAGTATTGTTATTTCGTTAACATCTGCCAGTCTAACAGTTGACAAATCACATGTCATCATTTCTTTGATTACTAAAATAAAAATGGTCTTTGAAAATAATGATTTGCAGTCACTTTCCTCCTGCATGAAATGCTTATTTTTATACAAGGTATTAATATGTTTCATTCAGCAAATACTTCTTGAACATCTACTATGTGCCACACACTGTTTGAAGTGTTGGGAATACATTAATGAACAAAACAAACAAAAATCTCTTCTCTCCTGGAGCTTATGTTCTAGTATGAGTCTATATTCTAACAGTTTTTAATTTAACTTAAGTTCCAGGATACATGTGCAGGATGTGCAGGTTTGTTACATAGGTAAATGTGTGCCATGGTGGTTTGCTGAACCTATCAACCCATCACCTAGGTATTAAGCCCAGCAGGCATTAGCTGTTTTCCCTGATGCTCTTCCCCCTCTGCCTGCCAATAGGCCCTGGTGCGTCTGTTGTTCCCCCACTGGGTCCACATGTGCTCATTGTTCAGCTCCCACTTGTAAGTGAGAACATGCAGTTTTGGTTTTCGGTTCTTGCATTAATTTGCTAAGGATAATGACTTCTAGCTCCATCCATGTCCCTGCAAAGGACATGATCTCCTTCCTTTTTATGGCTGCATAGTATTCCATGGTGTATACGGACCACATTTTCTTTACCTAGCCTATCATTGATGGGCATTTCGGTTGATTCTATGTCTTTGCTCTTGTATATCGTGCCACAGTAAATATACAGGAGCATGTATCTTTGTAATTATTCTAACAGTTTTAACACAGAAAGGTTACTGACACTTTCATCATATTGTGCAACTTTGTTGTCCTCAGTTTGCCATTTGGAAGCAATGTATATCTTTAGGAGAGGAATAAGTGGGATCAGAGTGTGATAGAATGTTAAAGGTGGACTAGGCCTTATAAACCATACAGCGTAGCCGCTTCATTTTATAGATGAAGCACCAGAGGAGACCTATAGAGAAAAAAATAACACTTGTTCAGGCTCACACTGAGTTAGTGACCCAGAAGGATTCTGCATCCAAGGGCCGTATTTCATTTGGAAAATGAGAAAAAAAAAGTGCTCCTTCATGAACTGTATTTATTTTGCTTTTTGATTCCTGTATTATACAAATAACAGTGAACATTTGCAGGGTCTTTCTATGTGCTAAGCACTCTATGGGCATAAGTTCCTCCGACTTCCCCCATAAGACAGACCCAAGCACGAAACAAACAGATGGGCAAACGGGGGTTGGAGTGCTTAAGTACAATGGCAAATAATCATTTTCAAAGACTTTTTACATCTTAGTAATCAAAGAACTCCAGTTAAAACAGTGACATACGATTTGTCACCTGTTAAATTGGCATCTGTTTAAAAAATAACAGTACTCACATCATAACTAGTAATTGACAAAGCTTTTACTCATGTCTAAGCCTGTCAGTCTCCAAAGGCCACCACTGTTCTACCCCCATCCCTAGTGTACTGTTGAGCATCTGTCAATGTGAGAAGTGTGTAGAAAAAGGAGAGATTTAAGGACAAGGAAAAGCAAGGCCGCCCCAGTCTGGAATGCTGCAGGGGGTGGCTGCTGGTGCGGCGTGGGCAGTGCTGGTGAGGAGGAGGTGTGGACGTTGAGGGGATGATGCTGAGGCCTGGCGAGGGAAATAAGGAGGGGACTCTTTGGGTGACCTCATCCTGCCCATTTCATTCTGTTCCTCCTCGGCTCACCATTCCACTTTCCAGTGACCCCAATTCTTTCTCCATCTTTTACAAAAACTGTCTTTCGGATTCCTCTGCCATATTAAAGTGCAAATGATGTGACAACAAAGTGAAGAGTTATTCAACCAACCAGCAGGTGCCATTTTCATTCTTAAACAAGTCTGGGTCGCATACGCAAGGGATATCACACTAATTGCAGTTCCAGACATCCACTTACTTTCATAATAAGAGACTTGTCTCTTCCTTATTTCTTTGTCTCTTCCATCTCCTACTCCTTCTCTCTTCCTCCTCCTCCTCCTTCCTCTTGCTTTCTCTGGTTTTAGAGTGGAGCCTGTAACTGAGACCCAGTATCCCACCACCTCAACAGACTTACTCTTAGGACTAGTCCTTTTGCCAAAATTTTGACTTTATATCAAAGTGCATGTCCAAATGTGGACAAGGCTAAGACCAGAAGAGGAGTCTCTGGGCATTGGAGACTCCAGGGATTCATTTATTCCTCCTCAAGGGATGGATGAGCCCCTCTATTGGCCTTTCCCACCAATGTCTTCTCATGCCAGGCCCAGAGATCAGGAGTGCCGTCAGCTCTCTTAGCCACCCAGCCTTTGACCTATGCAGGTGTCTCCTCAAATGGTAGAACCCAGAGCAGTGGGAGGTGGTCAGTGACATGCAGGCAGAGTGGCCCATCCCAGCTGTGTGTCAGTTGAAGTCTACAGTCAGAACGTTTCCATGGTGAGACCCAGACATCACAAAGGCCTCAGCGCAGAGGTATGGGGCTGCAGTTAACATTGACTTTGTTTGTAGCTGAAGGGATGAATGAACTGTAAGGTAACAGAAATGCAGATTGGGAGAGAGCAAGCAAATAGATTTGTTAGGTTTTACCCCAGTCTTATAGGAGGGTATTACTTATTTAACCTAATTATTGGTTTTGTTTTTATCATCGTGCATAAAGAACTTTCTGAGCCTATGAAAGCCTAAAGCTGATTAATATTTTAGTATATATTCATCACTAACAACAAGCATTTATTAAGTGCTTAACTACCTGTGATGCTTTTCTCAGTTCTTGCATGTGAGGTGAGTTACACTGATAACAATTCAGCCACTCAAAAAGAGAAGGTTTTGAAATGAACTAACACAAAGGACATTCAAGCAGCTGAGTATGGACAGAAGCGAGGGCAAATGATCGCAAGCACAGATGTAACATGCATGCAGTGAGGCAGGAGGGAGCCACCTGCGGTGGAAATGCTGAGAAGCACATGATTTTGCCTGGGAAGGCGCAGTTTTATGTCTGAGGCAGATTTGCTTATGGAGTTCAACCATTTTGTTCCTTGAGAGAAAGACAGTTTTATACACTTTTAAGGGTCATCATGAGAAAAACTTACAGAAAAAAAAATTGCCTGTTTGTTCTTGGAGGACAGTATTCCAGAGAGTAATTATTGTAGAAATTTTTCTTCCTAATCAAAAACCTTGAAGCAGTCCTCTACGCTCTCTCATAGCTGTTGGGCAACTTTCTCAATGCATCCTAAGAGCCAGGACAAATCAGAGCCAGTGGCTGGGCTGCCTGAGGCCATAAAAGTTAGTGTAGCTCATGGGATAGGAAGACCCAAAGAAAGCTGTGACCAGAGAGAAGTCCACCACACGAATTGACATGAAGGCAGTGGTATGATTCCTAGAACAGGAGGGAGACTGAAACCGGTCCCTGCTGATCAGGTAGCTAATGAAGAAATGGTCTTGAGATTCAAAATCAAGAGAAAAGCAACGGTATGAGCCAGAAGTCTCAACAAGCACAGGGAAAATGAGTCCAGTGAAACTGAACACAGTGCAACTATAAGGACAGGGATGTGGGACAAGCCACCTGCAGGAGAAGAGTCTCCAGCACAAATAGTCAAGAATTTTGAGGGCTCAGAGGAAGAAAAGAGCTGTAGGGAAAGTCTGAGCTTCTTAGAGAGTATTTATGTGCTCCTGAGCAGAATGGTGGTAGAAATATGAGTGGTAAAGCCCGTTCTGATAAGGTCTCAGATGAAAATGCAGAACAAGGAATTGGAAACGAGAGTAAAAGTCATCCTTGTTATGGAGTGGCAGAGAACTTGGCTGAATTGTGTCCATGCCTGAGATCTTTGTGAAAGGCAGAATTTAGGAGTGATCAGACTATCTGGCAGGAGAAATATCTGTAGGAATTGCATGGCTTCTTTTAACTGCATACAATAAAATGAGAGAAAATAAAAATAATTTAAACACAGAATTTATAATGAAAAGGGAACAGAATGTAAAAATTTGGAACATCCCTAGCCTGATCACGTGAAGATAAAAAGACATGTTCGGGAGAGTATATCAAGGGGGTAGCCAAGCAACCGTTTGAGAAGGAGATGAGTATGGATAGAAGGGAGGCAGGTACCATCCATTAAGACAATGAGAGAATGAGAGCAAGGGCATTTTGGAGAACTTAGAGTCTGCCCCTCTTGCCAGAGCCCTAGGAAGGCAGAATGGTTTTGTAGGAAAGGCCTGGGGTACCCTCCACAGGCTTGCTGCCTGGGGCTCCCGGCATTCTCATGCAGTGCTCCTTGGCCACCAGAGCTGTGGCTCAAGTGGTCCTAGATACAGCTCAAGTTGCTGCTCTGGGGGGCACAAGAAGTAAACCTTAAAACATCCATGTAGAAATTAGTTTGCAGTCATGCAGAATGCAAGAGCTGTGGAGGCATGGCTACCTCCACTTAGACTTTGAAAGACGGCACAGACAGCCTAGGGACCCTGGCAGAAATGTGGCATATGGGTGGAGCCGCTGCAGAGAGTCCACACTAGGGCAATGCCTAGTAAAGCCATGGGAGTGGAGCCATCCCCAAGACCCCAGAACTGTAAAGCCACCAGTGTGCAATGCCAGCCTGAGAGAGATGCAGGCATGAGACTCCGGTCTGTGACAGCTGCTGAGTGGGCTGAGCAAAATCATAAAGGTGGGGCTACTTGAGGCCTTAGGTGCCCAGTGTCCAATGCAGTGTGTCCAAAAGGTGGCACATGGACATGAAAAGATTATTCTGGAGTCTTAAGATGTGATGTTGTTTGCCCTGTTGGCTTTTGGACTTACTTGGGACTAGTTACTCCTTACTTCTTGCCCATTTCTCCCTTTTGGAATGGGAATTCCAATCCTATGCCTGTCCCACCATCTTATTTTGAAAGCACATGATGTGTTTGATTTCACAGGCTTACAGCTGAAGGAGTATTTATCTCCAGATGAATGGCTTGAGTCTCATCCATATCTGATTTAGATGAGACTTTGGGGTTTTTTTAGTTGATTAAGGAATGAGTTAAGACTTTGAGGTTATTGGGATAGAATGATTATATTTTGTATGGAGAAGAGCACATGTTTTGGGTGACAGGATTGAATGTGTCTTGCAAAAAGCATATGTTGAAATTTAATTGCCACTGTAACAGTATTCACAGATGAAAACTTTAAGAGGTAACTAGGCCACGAAGGCTCACCTTTTGTGAATGAATTGATGCCGTTAACTCAGAGGTGGGTTCATTATTGCAGGAATGAGTTCTTTATAAAAGGACAAGTTCAGTCCTCTTTTGCCTCTCTCTCCTACCCTCTCTTGCCCTTCTGTCTTCTCCCATAGGATCACACAGCAAGAAGGGCTTGTAAGATGCCAGCCCCTTGATCTTGGACGTCCCAGCCTTTAGAACTATGAGTCAATAAATTTCTGTTCATTATAGATTACCCAGTCTTGGGTATTCTGTTACAGTAGCACAAAGTGGTCTAAGAAGACAATAGCATTATATAACATATAATATAAAAACACAATACAGTATTTAAACTTGCTTTGGCGTTAAGCTTATTAAAAAGCATCTTGCTTATTTTGACATCATTATCACAACAAAGAAAATGACTAATTTGGTAATGTCATCCAAGGAGAGGAGAAAGACCAGTAACAGGACAGAGACCTTGCTGTTAAATTGAGTGTACTTAACAATTCTCTCATGGAGTGGTGCCTATTATCAAATTGAGCTATACCCGAATAAACATAATGTAATGATAGATGTAAGTTTACTGGGTGGAAAACTCCAAAATACTTTTCCTGTAGTATTATCTTTGTTCTCAATTTTTGTTTACAGGCCCCAAGTTAAAGAACTCTATTCAGCCGGGCGCGGTGGCTTATGCCTGTAATCCCAGCACTTTGGAAGGCCGAGGCGGGCGGATCATCTGAGGTTGGGAGTTCAAGACCAGCCTGACCAACATGGAGAAACCCCGTCTCTACTAAAAATACAAAATTAGCCTGGGGTGGTGACACACGCCTGTAATTCCAGCTACTAAGGAAGGCTGAGGCAGGAGAATTGCCTGAATCTGGGAGGCGGAGGTTGCAGTGAGCCGAGATCGTGCCATTGCTCTCCAGCCTGGGCAACAAAAGCGAAACTCCATCTCTAAAAACAAAAACAAAAACAAAAACAAAACTCCATTCAAAAGTAAAGTAGAAACACTATCTTGATGCACCAAAAGACCAACTGCTCACAACTTTGGTTCCAAGGTCTGGAGAATTTGCTGAGTCTGTGAGGCCTGGAGTTTCACAGCCAGTATCCAAACAGGGACTATTTCTGATTAATGTGTTGCTAGGTAACTCATAATTATACAAGCAAAGAAGCAAGTTCAATGTAATATAACTCACATTGATTTTTTTGGCTATGCTGTAAGAGCTTGATGTTAATGTATAGGAAAAAAATTCCCAATATCCCCCAAACATTTTGTTCCAATAAATACTTCTTAATATTTTGAAATCACCTGGTTGTTCTTATAGATCTGAAAGTATTTGAAACACATTTTTATTATGAATCATGATTTAGGCTCCTGATAGACAGTTTTGTGAGCATACTGACTTCTCTATAAATATTACCAGCTCATTCAAACTAAGTGGAGCAAGTGAATAGATTTGTGGTCCTTTCCGTACAGACTTAGAAACTTCCCGGTTTTATTTTGGTCTAATTATAGGTTTTGACTTTTTCAAGGTACATAATCAAAGTCTGACCCCTAAAAACGTCTAATAAAGCTATGCTTTAAAGGCCAAAGAAATAAACACATTATTTTAAGTGTCATGGAGTTAGTGCAAATCCATGTATCTTTGCAGGCCAGGGGGTGTTTTCTACCAGATGAGGGCCTAAGGCAATGAGGCGGCACAGACATAATAAAAGTCTGACGCAGAGAGGATTTGAATACCAGCTAGAGTAGTGGAAACATGTTGTCAATAAATGTCTCAGGTCAAGAAACACACAAAATGAGAAGAAATCGTAGCAACCACCTTGCAGTGACCAAAAAAATCTATATATATTGTCGGGATAATTCTGAGAATAAAGCAGTACTATGATGCTAAAAAGATGGTCTTCCTAAATTGCAATATGAATGACTGCACGTTAGAAAAGCATGTATTTTGGACCAACGTTGTGAAACTAAGCTGTCTTGGGACACCAGGCATGAAGGCAATGGGGCACATTGGTTACGAGTTCTGGGTTTGGCCAGGGTGTGAATTCCAACTCTCATTGACCTTGAGGATGTTATTTCAATTTTTTGTGGTTTAGTTTTCTTATCTGTATCTCACAAGGTTATCAGAAAGATTATATATAATCATGTATAAAGCTTGACATCTGGCCTCTCAAATGCTAAAATAAAAAATAAAAAATAAAAAAAAACCCAACCTAATAGTGTTATAATTACAGAAACAGAGTGTTCAGCTTAACAGGACACACTTTCCTTATGTCCTTTCCTTCCTCAAAAGTAGGAGTAATTCACCTCCTTCAGGCCAGTTGCAGGTTGCTTTGAGGCCTTGTGTTTCAGAGGAGTAGTAGCTATTTTATTACCACGTCTCTTATTTTCAGTCTTTTATTCCCCTTTAGTAAGTTTGGCTAGATCTTCCTTTGTTTTTCTTTCACATGATTGAAATCAGCCACCAGAAATCACTGCACCCATCACCCAGATTCTGTAGTTTTGGTCAACTGCTTGCCATCTTCTTCTCTACTTTGATATTAAGCACCTGGTCAAGAATTGCATCTCCCAGGGCTTGTCAGCATTACTGACACTTTCCTGCAGGCACCTTTGGAAATGGGCCAACATAGTGCTGTTTTGGACTATCATTTATCTAGCATTTGCCCTCAAAGATACAAACCTAAGTTTAATCTTATGATATTAACCATGATAGATTGCAACCTCAATAATTTTTATTCTAACAATTAGATCTGCTATTCTTTGGACAGAATGGCTTTCTTTTGGACGATCTTTTTGGCAGTCTTTTAGATGATAAAGAAGTAAACAAAGTTGTCAAGAAAGTTAAAAGACATATACTCGAAACTCTACGGGGGAAAAAAAAGACACTAGGAAGAGCTCTCTGTCCTGGATGGCAGTAAAGAAAGTAAAGCTACATATTTCTAACACAAATCTTCTGTATCATCTCTTGTTTTACATAATTCATAGACTCGCTCTTTAGCATAGAATTTGTGGCCATGTACAAAGGTCACAGCTAGAATACTGCAAAATGTGTACATCTGAGGGCAGAAATTCTTTTTCCCCATTACTTATTTATCAAACAGGTTGATGTCAGATAGAAAGCTTTGGGTGTTGTTTTGCCTTTCTTCCTCCCATGCAAATAATCATCTCTGTGTCCTACCTTGTTAACCTTTTCTGTTTATTTCTATTTCCCTGCAACTCCTTATTATAGTTGCCAGTTAATCACAAATATATTAAAAGATTTCTTTTTAATCTAGCAGTCTTCATCGCTTTGTGGTATCTATGTGAACAGTTGTGTCCTCGCTAAGAGAGTGTCCAATTACACGCACGGCAGGGAAAAGCAAGAGATCAGCAGTTGACTATGCTTTTGTCTAAGGTATCAAATGTGAAAGCAAATTAGGTATCTAAAAATAAAAACTAAAATTAAGACTAATAAAATGGAGCTTTGACTTTTCTCATCACAGACTCATTTATACTTAATGACACAGACTGACTGCATAGGTAATTGTTATAATCTCTCTTGAAATGGATTTTAAAAAATGGCTGATCTATTCTTCTTTTCAGGACAGGTAAATGGATGCCAAGACAACAGAGAAACAGGAATCTTTTTGTGTAGTTATATATTAATTTGTTTGCAATATTGGCTTGCAAATAGAAGGCCAGAGAGAGGTGAGTTAGCCAGTGTTACTTAGACATATAAGCATATAAATTCAATCAATCATACGTTATTTTGCCCACTGAGCTCAACATGCCAGATCAAATACATGAAACATCAGAAAAACACCACCAGGAATTTCTTTCCAAAACGCAACCCGTTTTGCTTTAAACAAACATAAGAAACACTACTTCAGGAATACAATTTATAGAACTCCTCTCTCTTTAGATGTTTTACGTTCCCTCTTTCTATTTGCCAACATTCTAAGTTTCAGACATACACTTTATTAATATCTCCGACCAGATGAATACTTCCTACCTTTTCCCTCCCCGAATTACACCTGTTCCTTTTTCACCCTTGCACCCTCTAGGCTGGAGGAGCTCCACCAGGTGGATAGGAACTTAGCTCTTAAGAGATAATAGTGCCACCTGAAAGCTGGCATGGGAAATGACCTTATCCATTGTCTTCCCCACCATATTCTTCCTAAAAAATTATTTTTGTTCACATTTGCTAGCACATTTTCTAAGCCCTCTCTAATTTACAGTTGTCGTCCTTCCCACTCCTAACTCAGAACCAGGGATACACTTTAACAATCACAAGAAATAACACAATTGTACTCATGGAGTATTTCTTTTTCTTGGGGAAACTCTAAGTTGTTTAAATTGTTCCCTTTTGAGTAATAATAATATGACTTTATTCCCCTTATTAAGTGCTACATCTTCTTGTACTTTACATATATTAATTTAACTCATTTCAGTGGAATGAGTTAAATGAGCAACTTATTTAATTCACGTAATCCTCGGTAAAATTATATATAGAGACCTGTATTCAATTTGAATCTATTACAAACTGTTGGGGGAAACCAAAGGTAGGTGAAATAATTTACAAAAGTGTAAACCAAAAATAAAATTCTAAGCACCCCGGCTAACTGAATGGTCCCTTTTCTCGGCCTAGAGAATTTCAAAGAAACCTAAAATGAAACTGGTTCAGGCAATGATGGGAAGGGCTGTGGGTGGGACATGCTTCATTATACTCATACATTTGGAATTCAGGTACAACTGACCAGTATTAATATTAAAACAGAGATCTTAAGAATAACAAAACAGACTATTTGTAGCAATAAGATACCCAATTCCAACCTAACTCTAGTATGGGATCACTTGATAGATAGAAGGCCCTGAAAACAAATCAAAATGTTTTACCCCAAAATATATTTCTTTGACATATTTTTTAATGGCCCTGCAAAGCTGTCTCTTGTGGAGGAAATTTACATTCTGTAGAGAATCCCCTTCCCTTTCCAGATCTTTTTCTGTTCCTGAAGAGATTAGCTAAGAGTCTAGAGCACCTTTCAAAGGTCTGAATAGAAAACATTTGCCACATATTGTTATTAAAGGTGGTCACATATGAGACTTCATCTACATAATAAGAACCTTGTCCTCTACAACCCCTTATCTTAACCCAGACACTCCTTTCTACCGATTCCAGGTCTTTAGATAATAACTTAACTCTCAACCAATTGCTAATCAGAAAATCTTGGAATCTACCTAGGACCTGTAAGCCTGCCCCTCACTTCCAGTTGTTCTGTCTTTCTAGACCAAACCAAAGGATACCTCACATGTATTGATTGATGTCTTTCGTCTCCTTAAAATGTATAAAACCAAGCTGCAAACCAACCACCTTGGCCACATGTTCTCATGATATCTTGAGACTGTGTCTCAGGCACAGTTATGGTTACTTATATTTGTCTCAGAATAAACCTCTCTAAATATTTTACATAGTTTGACTCCTGTCGACAAAAGAAAACTAAATCATGCAACAATTCATATACACATATATACACACACAGAGAGAGAAACGGCTACTGTAGTGACACAATTTGAGAAACAACTGTCTTCTGATGTCTAATCTTACACTAAATAGGTTAACTTGCTGCTGCTTCTCATGAGCGACTCAGTTCTACTAATTTGTTTTTTTATATTCCTCAGATCCAGCACCACAGGGATTCAAATCTCCGTTGACAAGTGTTTATAAATGACTCGCAACCAGAACATATATGTGGAATCAGCACACAAAACTGGCAAGAGCACTGGTTCCGCTGCAGAAATTACACACAAGAGGAGCTCTTTCTGTGTGCTTTCATGCATCAGTCTAGAGCCAGTTCTTCCTCATTCACATTGAAACGTCAGGTTCGGCCTGAATAATGTTTCCATGCGGGCCTAAAAACTTCTGCAAAAATTCGATGGAAGTAAAAATCACACAAGACCTCATCACACTCCTCCATGTGATCTCAATATTTTTAAAGAAAATATTTATATACGTTTTATTTATAAACCACTATTCTAAGACTTATAAGTCTATAAAGCTTCCATTTGGGCAAAAATGTAATCTCCCAAGATATAGCAGCTCTCTAAGCTAAAAATAAGAGAGAATATTTTTGAAGAGACAAGAGTCTCAGGTTCCTTGTGAGGGAACTCAAAATATTTCACCCCAAAATATGGCAATCTGAGTGTTTTAAGTTAAAACCTCATAGAGATCAATAAGCACTGGAGGAGAGTTTTCCCCTATCAACAGAAAGACAGGACTGACTCACCCAGGAGAACAATTGTTCTTGTTCCCCTCCCTGGTATCTCATTATTCACTACAGGAAAGAAGACCAAAAATGTAAGCATACTTGAACATACATTTTTCAAGATAATGAGTGTCTCAAATGATTATTTAAATTCCAAAGAGAACTATTTACAAGTTAATTTCTGTTCCAGTTATTTTCCTTAGTAATCATTTATTGCACATCAATAGAATTCCTCTTCCCACCCTCCCATAGCCTGTTCTGCCAGGATCCAAGCCTTCATTCTTTCTGTAACCTCAAGATGGTATGTCAACCTTTGTACCTCATTGGGAAGCTGGGTCTTCATTTTGAAGGCTTCCAAATATACACATTAAATAAATTTGTATGTCTTTTCTCCTATTAGTCAATCTTCTTCTTGTCAGTGATTTTCAGTGAACCTTTAAGGGGTCAAGTTTTGGCCCCCACACCTGCCTTCAGTAGCACGTTTGTTTGAAGGTGGATCAACCCAAATCACTCATTATTATTTTTTCACAGTGTGGGGATTTGTCAGGACTAGGGGAAAAGCAGGTACATGGAGGAGTCAGGAACATCTTTGGTGCAGAGGAGTTGTTTTTACTATTAATTACTATTGACTGCTGTGATATCCAAAATAATCCCTTGGCAGAAAGTATCCTCAAATCAATCCATATATTTTCGGTAGGAATAGGAGGAAAAGGAAGTGGTCATGTCAGGTTATGTGCCCGTGATTCCAGCAACAGGAGACACTGACTTGAAGGAAGAAGTGACGGAATCTGCTTAGAGGAGTAAAAGTTTCTTTTTTCACATGAAGGCCAACCCTTAGGAGAAGCATCTTACGGGGATTCCTTTCTGACCAATGCTCTACTGGGAAAAGCCACTCATAATTTAATGAATATTCAGTTTTGTTCTTGGGACTTCATCCTTCTTATAACGTGGGTAATCAGTTCATCTAGTTCTGACATTTAGATTTCTCCTTTCAGTTCTTTTTTTCTCTAGAATCTACTCCCTGTGAAGAGCACAGTTGGATCTGGTGAGCTGTTCATTGGTGGCCTCCAGCCTCACTGCCTGCTGACTCTTTAAACATCTGGCATCTTCTAAAGATGATTTTAAAACACCAGATCTCTTGTAACATGGCTAAACCTTTAAAGAACTGTATATTTTCCTTCCATTTAGTCAAACTTGTGTGGCAAGCTTTTTTCCTCCTTACTCTCTCCATACAGTTGATTTTAACTGAATGAAACTTCTGTTCCAGAAAAGAAAGAGCTCAGTACAATTTCCAGTATTTGTTACCCATGCCATCATTAACCAAGAAAATGCACAGATACTAGGACTGGAACTCATGATTTCAGGCCACGTAGCCACAACTTGTATAGCTTCTTTGAAGAACACTGAGCATAATTCTGAGGTAGTTCACAGCTCCTGATGGCCCTGAAGTCCACCACAAAGCTGCCTTGGCTTAGGCTCCTATTGCCCGCTGCACTGCCTCAAACCGCAATGATCCTCCAGGAAAGAAACCTGCACATTCATGTTTTCCTTATGTTTGTTTTTCAGAATTGATACATAATAATCGTACAAGTTTATGGGGTACAATATGATGGCTATGCTAATTAATTTGCTTATTACGCAATAAACTTGTATGCTTTGCTTTGTGAAGTATCTATCCAAGTCTTTTCCCCATTTTTCCCCTCGACTTTTAATTTATTTTTATAATTTCAAGCTTATAAAAAAGTCGCAAGAATAGCACATGGAATTTCCATAGGACCTTTACCCAGATTCAATAATTGTGTGCCTGTTGACCCACTTTCCTCTTCCTTTGCTCCCTCCTCTCTTCTTCTTCCCCTTCCTTCACGTTCTGGTTCTCTCCTTTTGAAACAGAAAATGTCAGGACCTTTTACCACCCCCGCCTATACTTTACTTCCTAAGGAAAATGAGATCTCTTCAATAAGGAAAGTACAATTATCGAAATCAGTAAATATAACTTAATGCTGATACAATGCTAATCCACAGTGCATTTTTAAATTTGTCAATCTTCCCAATAGTATCTTTTGTAGAGAGACATGAATATACATATACATACATATTTATACAATAGATATTATGTATACACATTTCCCAGTCCAGGATCTAACTGAAGAGCATGCATTACATCTACAGCTCGTCTGCCTCTGTCATGACCTTAATCTTTTGAAGTACATCATACAGATATTGTGTAGAATACGTCTCCATCTAGGTTTATTTGATATTTCCTCACTATTACATTATGATTATATCTTTTTCTCAGGACTGCCACTGAAATGTTATGTTCTTCTTATTCAATAATATCAGGAGCCATGTGATGTCAATTTGTCCCCACATTGTTGACAGTAACTTTTATTGGCTGGTTCAAGTGGTAACTGACAAGTTTCTCCTCTATAAAGGTATTGTTTTCCCTTGTTAAGTAGTAAACTATTTATGGGAGATACTTTGAAACTACATAAATATCCCATACTTCATAAACTTCTCACTTAATACTTTTAGCATTAATTGATCCCATCACCACTTTGATATTGTATGCTTTCTGTATTAGTCCACTCCCACACTGCTAGGAAGAAATATCCAAGACTGTGTAATTTATAAAAGAAAGAGGTTTAACTGACTCAGTTCCACATTGTTGAGGAGGCCTTAGGAAACTTACAATCAAAGGAGAAGCAGGCATCTTCTTCACAGGGCAGCAAAATGAAGTGAGTGCAAGCAGGGGAAATGCCACACACCTATAAAACCATCAGATCTCATGAGACTCACTCACTATCACAAGAACAGCATGGGGGAAACTGGCCCCATGATCCAATTACCTCCACCTGGTCCTGTCCTTGACATGTGAGGATTACGAGGATTATAATTCAAGATGAGATTTTGGGTGGGGAAACAGCCAAACCGTGTATCACTTTCCTTTGTGAAATATCTTTCCACATATGGTTAGATACTTCACAAAGGAAAGCTATGACTTATGAATCTCAGAACCCATTACCCCTTTGATATTCATAAGTCAGCATTCTACTGTGAGGAGGTGTCCCTGTGCCCTGTTTGTTTGCCTGTCAATTTGTTCATTTATTATTTATATCAGAATGGCTTTATACTTTTTTGTCAATGGATTATAATCCATTACTATCATTATTTACTTAGATTCTTAATTTGTCCTAGGGTAAAAGAGAGCCCCTTTTAGATGGTTCCTAGGTGCTTTTGATATGATCTTCATCATTCTTTAAGCCTTTCTTAACTTTGTGGCACAAAAGAAGCTCCAAAAATATTATGTGCTTTCCCTGCTCCATGCCTGGAATTATCCTTTCATTCAAGCAGCTCTGGTACCTTCTAGAACAGAATGGTAGTTTAAAACCAAGATCTCAGCACTGGGTGTACTCATTGCCATGTGTGACTCATGAAATTTATACACACACACACACACACACATACACACACACACCCCTATATTTATCTCTACAAAACTGTGAATTCATACAGATACCTCCAATTCCAGTTCAGCACTACTGGACACATTCTATATTTTCATGTCATAATTCTACACTCCAGTGAGAAACCTGCCTCTCGATATTATTTTTATTTATTTATTTATTTATTTATTTATTTTTTGAGATGGAGTCTCTAGCTCTGTCCCCAGGCTGGAGTGCAATGGTGCGATCTCGGCTCACTGCAACCTCTGCCTCCCAGGTTCAAGCAATTCCCCTGCCTCAGCCTCCCGAGTAGCAGGGACTACAGGCATGCACCACCACGCCCAGCTAATTTTTTGTATTTTAGTAGAGACAAGATTTCACCATGTTGGCCAGGATGGTCTCAATCTCCTGACCTCGTGATCCACCTGCCTTGGCCTCCCAAAGTGCTGGGATTACAGGTGTGAGCCACTGCACCCGGCCATTATTTTTATTTTATTTCTTGTGTCAGTTTTAATATATGTACTCATTTGTTCAAGTCTAGAAAATGCAAAAAAAGTAATTTCAGAATTGCTAACCCATGATGCAACAAAAAGTAAATCTACTAACAAGAGTTCAATTTTTCAGTTTGACAGTTTTTAACATAACTTTTACATACATATAATTCAGTTTCTTTTTCTACGTGGACATACCTTCATAAACAATACAGGAAATATCCATCTCATAAAATTAACGCATGCTTCCCAGTTAATTCTTTCCACCCAGAAGTAATCACTTTTCTAATTTGTTTTCACTAAGGATTCATTTTGCCTAATTTGAACGACTACAAATGGAAAGATACAGAATATTCTCTTTTGTGTCTGATTTCTTTTGCTCAGCATATTTTTGAGAATCATTCACGTTATTGTCTGTATCAATGGTTTGTCCCTTTTATTAATAATTAGCATTCCATTCTGTGAATATACGGCAAATTACTTATCCATCCTTCCATTGATAGACTTTGGGTTTTTTGACTACTGTGAATAAAGTATCTATAAATGTTCTTCTGAGAAAAATGCCACAGTAGAATACTGAGTCCTAGATATGTGTATTTTTCTCTTTGTAAGAAATTATCAAAATGTTTTTCATAATGGTTATACCTTTGCACTCTCCTACCATCTATGTAAGAGAGTTCCAATTCCACATCACTGCCAACATTTCATGTTTCCAGTGTTTTTAATTCTAGTAATTCTAAAGAGTTTGTAGTGGTATCTTGTGGTTTCAATTTGCATTTCTCTGAGGGGTAATTTTGATCATTTTCATGTACTTATTGATCATTGGAGGTATCTTTTTTTGAGGTGACTGTTTAAAGCTTTTGCTCATTTTAATGATGTTTTTGGCTTTTTAATTAAAGTTAAAATTAAAATTAAATTAAAAATTGAAGATACTGAAGTTTTATATTTTCTGGATATAAACTAGATGCTTTGCAAATTTAGTTGAGGTCAAATATTTAGTTGTAATCTTGCCTATTCATTTTCTTTAACAGTTTCTTGTGATGAGCAAAAGTTTTAAGTGTGATGAGCTCTAATTTATCACGTTTTTCTTTTAGGTTTATTGCTTTTTTCTATTCTCTCTA
Source organism: Homo sapiens (assembly GCF_000001405.40). Classification (NCBI taxonomy): domain Eukaryota; kingdom Metazoa; phylum Chordata; class Mammalia; order Primates; family Hominidae; genus Homo; species Homo sapiens. The sequence continues at coordinate 155,804,017 of NC_000006.12, read as the reverse complement.
TGAAGTTATCATCTACTTAAGTTTGAAAACAAATAGTCGAACGTGTTCTTTAAAAGCGTTTACATTCCTGATTTTGTCTAAAATTAATTTTTGTGTATGGAATGAGATAATATTTGAGGTCCATTTATTTCCACACTGATTCCTTGTTTGTCCAGCACCATTGGTTGAACAGACTGTCCTTTCTCCATTAATTTACCTTTGCATCTTGGTAAAAAATTAATGGCTCCTGTATATGAGCAAAAATTAACAGGTCCTCTATGTTTATTTCTGAACCCTATTCTGATCCAATAATCAATTGGTTATCAATTCACCAAAATCACACTGTCTAAATTACAGTAACTGTACAGTAAGTCTTGAAATGGGATAGTATAAACTGTACAATTTTGTTATTCTTTCTCAGCATAATTTTGACTATTCTTGATTGTTTCTGCATATAAATTTTAGAATCAACTTTTCAATTCCTACCAAAACTTACCTGGTGAAAGTATAACTAGCATTATATTTCAACTAGCAAAGAATTCACATCTTATTGAGTCCTCCAATCCATGAACATGGAATAACTCTTCATCAATTTACATCTTTTAAAATTTGAGCATTAATTGTAGATTTAGTATAACAGCATTGCCTACACACATTGAATATATTTTTAATTATTTTATATTTTTTACACTATTGTAAATGATATTTTAAATTTCATTTTGCAATGCTCATTAACTGCTCTGTAGAAATACATTAAAATTTGCCTTTAGGTTTTGTATCCTGTGACCTTGTTAAATTCCTATATTTATTCAGATTTTCTTCTCACAAAACCAGTCTGTGAACAAAGACAGTTTTGCTTTTTGCTTTTTGATATATGTGCCTTTTATTTATTTTGCTTCTGCTTCATTGCACAGGCTAGAATCACCAGTTTAATGTTGGATATATCATAATTGGTGGAAATGTTCATCCTTGCATTGCTCCTACTCCTGGGGAAAGCTTTCATTGTTTGACCATTATGTTAACGTCAGCTGTAGGCTTTTCACATTTTTAAAATTAAATCGAGGAAGTCACCTTCTATTCTGGTTTGCCGAGGGGTGTTTTTGGCAAGAAAATATCAGATTACTGAGAATTTAATCACAATTTCCAAATGTTCTGAAACTATATGAATGTAGCAAATGCCCCTTAATGCATTGCGTTTAGATACATCTAACCTCTTTCTGTTCAATATGGAAATGTGCATATTTTGTAAGTCCTCACAGATGTAACAGTAGGGTAACATTTTAATTCATTTCCAGATAAACTTTCTCAAATCCAAAAAAACAAAAGAAAAGAAATGAAAATAGAGAGCATTATTTAAATCATGAAGGGGTATTAAATATTATCAAATACTTCTTTGTCATCTGAGATATTATGACTTTTTAAAAATTCTGATAATATAGTAAATTATATTAATTGATTTTTGAATGTTAAATTAACCTTGCTGTCCTTGGATAAATACCAATTTATCATAATATATTATTCTTTTTATTAGAACTATATTTGATTTACTCATGTATTGTTAAGGACTTTTATATTCATTTTTATGATGGATGTTGGTCTTGTACTATGTTTATCCTGTTTTATTATCAGGTTTATGCTTATGTCATCCTTTATTTTCTGACTGAGTTTGTGCACGATTGTGATTATTTCTTCCTTAAATATTTGGCTTGGAATATTCTATGTAGGAAAGTTTTTAATTATGAACTCAACATTTTAACAGATATAGGTGTGTTCAAACTTTCTCTTTCTTCTTGTGTCAGTTTTGGTAATTTGTGACTCTCAAGGTATTTACCAATTTGTACTAAGTTGTAAATTTATTGGTATAAAGTTGTTCACATTTGCCTAAATATTCTTTAATCTCTGTGGGCTCCATAGAGACATACCTGTTCATTCTGATATTGTAATCTGTGGTTCTCCCTTTCTCTCTCCCCACTCTCTCTTTCTTTCAGCCTCTCCCCTCCCTTTCTCCTCTCCTTCTTTCTTTTTTTCTTGACCAGTTTTGCTATGGGCTTATCATTTGAAAAAATATTTTCCAAGCAATTACTTTTGTTTTTGTTGCTTTTCTCTATTATTTGTCCATTTTCTAGTTCATTGATTTTTGCTAGGAGCAAAATCTTAATTACACCATTCCTCTGCTTACTTTGTTTCTAATTTGCATTCCTTTTTCTAATTTATCATGTTGATAACTTAGATTGTTAACTTTAAGGTTTTATTCTTTTAGAATGTAAGTCTTTAAAGGAAGCTATCAAGGCCCAACTAATCATTGCTTTAACTGTATCCCACAAATTTCACTATAATTCAGTATAAAATATTTTCTAAATTATATTGGGATTTATTCTTAGTCCCATGTGTTATTTAAAATGTGTTTCTTAATCGACAAATATCTAGGATTTCCCTGATATATTTTTGTGATTGATTTCTAATTAAATTCTGGTCAAAATAGAAAATGTATTGAGGAGTATTGAAATCCTTTGGTGTTTATTTGTATTAATTTAGTGAATGTTCTATTCGCATTATACTTGGGAAGAATGTGTCTTCTGTAGTTCTTGGGTACAGTGTTCAAAATATGCAAATTATGTTCATTGGTTTATAGTGCTGTTCAAGCCTTTTACATTGTTTCTAAATGTTATCCATTTGTTCTGTCATTGCCTGGAAGAGGAGTATTAACTTCAACTGTAATTGTAGATTTGTTCATTCCTACCTTTTTAATCTCAGTTTTTCTTCCTTTTTGAATCTCTGCTGTTAAGTGCATGTTTTAAGATTGTGACGTCATTATGATAAATTTATTATTTAAAAATTCCTCCTTATCACTGACATTTATGGAATATCTCTCTACTTTTTAAATTCCTGAACATTATAAAATATCTATTTCTGTCACCTATGAAATATTTATGTTTGTCTATAACATTTTTTGATGTGTAATTTATCTGATATTAATATAGGCACTTTAACATTGTTATTATTGGTGTACTTTTTCTATCCATTTACTTTTTTTTTGGTTTTTGTTTGTTTGTTTGTTTTTGGAGACGGAGTCTCTCTCTGTCACCCAGGAAGTGCAGTGGCGCGATCTCGGCTCACTGCAAGCTCCGCCTCCCAGGTTCATGCCATTCTTCGGCCTCAGCCTCCCGGGTAGCTGGAACTACAGGCACCCACCACCACGCCCAGCCAATTTTTTGTATTTTTAGTAGAGACGGGGTTTCACCATTTTAGCCAGGATGGTCTCGATCTCTTGATCTTGTGGTCCACCCACCTTGGCCTCCCAAAGTGCTGGGATTACAGGTGTGAGCCACCACGCCCGGCCTCTATCCATTTACTTTAAGCTGTCTTAGTATTAAACCATTCCTCTTATAAATAGCATACAGCTAGATTTTGATTTTTTTAATCCACGCTATCTGTGCCTTTATATCAGTTTATTTATTACATTTACGTATAATGTAATTATTGACAGGTTTAAGTCTTCTATCTTGCTGTTTTCAACTTACCCCTCTGTCTTTAGTTCTTTTGTTACTCTTTTCCTACCTTCTTTGGGATAATTCATTTATTTTTGTTATTTCATTTAATCTCTTATTGACTTTTTAGTTATATATTTTTTCTTTTTTTCAAATTTATTTTAATGTTCCTTTAAAATTACAATATATTTTTTAACTTATCATGATCTATTTTCAAATAATATCATATTCTTTCATAAACTATGTAAAAGAGTTCCTTTATTCCTGTGTAAAAACCTTGCAATTGTGTAATTTTATTGATCCCTCTGCTCTCTGGTATGCTCTTATTGTCATATATATTAATGTTTTATTTCTACATTTGTGGAAAATCCTAAATTCATTGTTATTGTTTATATATTAACAATCAATCATCTTTTAAAGATATGATCAAAATGAAAATGATTATTTTATGTTTACCCCAATATTTGCCATTTCTTGATGCTTTGTATTTAATCTTATAGTTCTCAGTTTCTAATTAGTATCATTTCCTTTCAGACTAAAAATTTTTTTACATTTTACATAGTGCAGATCTACCTGTGACATTCACTCAACTTTTCTCTCTCTGAAAGTATCTTTATTTCATTCTCAGTTCTTGAAAAATAGTATTGCTTCATGTAGAATTCACAATGACTATTTTTTCCTACCCCTTACACATTGTCTTCAGGCCTCACTTGTGTGTCATATACTACTGGCCATTTTTCTGATTGCTGTTCCCCTATATGCTCATTATGCCTTTTTCTCAGACTGCCTTTAAGCTTTTCTCTTTATCTTTGGTTTAAAAAATTTTATTATGATGTGCTTCAGTGCTATTTTCTTTGTGTATTTCCTGCTAAAGATTCATTGACTTTCTTAGATTATGGGGTTTTGAGGTTTCCTTTAAATTTGGACACTTCTGTCATTATTTCTTCAAATATTTTTTCCATTCCAATTGCACTTTCTTGTCTTTTAGAATTTTAGTTTCATACAAGTTAGTCCACTTTATAATATACTACAGGCCACTGAGTTTCTGTGTATTATGTAAAGTCATTTTTTCTCTCTCTCTGAATAATTTGTATAATTTCAGATTTGTAAAATTTGTATAATTTATAATTTCTAAAACCTCAATTTGTATAATTTCTATTGCCCTGTTGTTACAGTTATCAATGTATTGGTTCCCAGATTTAAATTTGCCTTTCAATACCTACTTTGTAAAAATGGTTGGAAGTCTTGTAAGCATTTCTCACTTAGGATAATATTAAGCTTCTCAGTAGATGGTGCTTAAAGAGCATTCAGAAGTAAGGGGCTGTATTAGTCTGTTTTCATGCTGCTGATAAAGACATACCCTAGCTGGGAAGAAAAAGAGGTTTAACTGGACTTATAGTTCCACATGGCTGGGCAGGTCTCAGAATCATGGCGGGAGGCAAGAGGCTCTTCTTACATGGTGGCACCAAGAAAATATGAGGAAGAAGCAAAAGGGGAAACCCCTGATAAACCCATCAGATTTCGTAAGACTTATTCACTAGATTTCATAAGACTTATTCACTATCACAAGAATAGCACGGGAAAGACTGGCCCCCATGATTCAATTACCTCCCCTTGGGTCCCTCCCACAACACATGGGAATTCTGGGAGATACAATTCAAGTTCAGATTTGGGTGGGGACATAGCCAAAACATATCAGGGCCTTCTCTTGTTGGTCTGATTGCTGCACAATTGGTCAGTGGTGCAAATATTGTGCTCTGCCCTAGCCATGTACTCAAAATACGCAATCTGTCAGTAATTTTGCAATCCCAGCTCAGCATGGTTATCACCCTCCCACAGCCTTTCCACTATGCTCCAAACTTTCAACTGCATCGCAACCTGACTCCTTCTGTATGCCTGCCCCTGTATCCTTCCCCAACTTCAGAAGTTTATTTTCTGTGAACTGCTCAATGCAGATACTGCATACTCAAGGCCATCCACCTGCAGCAGCATCCCAACTTCCTCTGTGCACTAGCTCACTGCTACAGCTCACTTATCCTCTAGAGGTGTATTTCCCATAGCCCTCCAGATGAAGACGCCAGATTTACTGTAAGCACCTTCTCACCAGCTGTGGGTTACCTGCATCCCAGATGGCTGCTTCCCGGTTGCTTGGTGACTGTGGACCAGCTTTGGCCTAGGAAACCCAGAAAACTGATCTGCTAGCCAGTGGGCTGCACCTCTACCTTTTCCAACAAGGTCTAAACCTCAGCTTCCAGGAAGGCTCTGCCTTTCAAATTTGTCCTTTTTTCTCTACCTTCCCTCAGTCCTAGGTGACCTTTTAGAATTATTTTACACTTTATAGTCTTCTATTGATTTCTGCCTTTTCACTAGACTGACTGATACGCCTGTTTTCAAGTTCATTAATCTTTCTTCACTGGTATTCGATCTGGTGTTAAATCCACCCAGTACAATTTTTATTTCATATTTTGTATTTTGAAATGCTAAAATTTACATTGTCATGATTTTTATTTCTTGCTTGGGATTTCCTTCCTATTTGTTTACTTCCTATTTTCCTTTACTTCTTTAATTCTGCTTCTTTATAAACAACTAGAAATTTTAAGAATGTGGAATATGTGGAATATTGTTGGTGCTATATATTTAAAGTTCTGCATTATATTGTTTTTCTTAAAGAATGTAGTCTTTTTATGGCATGCTTTATGCTGTTGAATTTTACTTGGAGCCTTTAGTATACTGTATGTAGGGCTAACATAATCCTACTCTTAAGTTATAACTTTTTGTTGATCTCATTCTCCACTCTGGCTACCCTTTCGGAAGCATTTCTCTGTCAGCATTATCCAAACTCTTTATGGGTTTTTTTCAGGTCATAGCCCCTAATACTTGTTCCCTACTAGACATCAGCTTCCCACAACATGCTCAACTTAGTATCTGGCCAAAGACTCAAAAAATTTCATTACATTTTCTTGGGTTCCTTTCTACACAACATCCTTCTCTCTGGGAACTTGCCTTCAATAGCCACCTCATCTGCCTCAATACCACTCTCTACTGCCTCTGTCCAGAGAGACCATTGTTCTCGATTTGGGTTCAATTTCCTGTGCTGGGTTTGAAAAGAGCCCCCAGAAGAAAATCTGTAGTCGGTGTTGAGCACACCTTTTGCATTTTCATATTTTCAAAGATCACAACCAGACTGCCTGAAAATGATTGTTTCATACATCTTGTTCAGTTTTGTAGAATTTTTTAAATGTAGGTAAGTCCTATTCCAGTATTTAAATACAGCCAGAACTTGAAGTTATTATCTTCTTTTAAAATGAATTTGTGTGTATGTATTTTAGATTTCATACTGTAAAATAAAATATACATAGTAAAACATTTGGAAAAACAAACAGAAAAGAGGAAATCATTTGTAATTCCAACATTCATAGGTAACTACTGTTAACATTTTTATTTCTGTCTCTTCTACATATATATATATACAGAAGTGTATATAGGTAAAACTGGATTTGCATGATATTACATAATACCTACTGTTTTTATAATCTCTTTTCCCACTCCAACCTTATTATGAACACTTCCATGTCATAAAATAATTTTCCACAACCAATAAGACAACATAATTTTTAGACAACGAAATCTTTCGTGAAATGTGAAGACCACCAATAGAATTATAAATGGCTGCACATCTAATAAAACTCTGAAGTTTTTCTCCAAATTTTTTTTTTTTTTTTTTTTTTTTGAGACGGAGTCTCGCTCTGTCGCCCAGGCTGGAGTGCAGTGGCGGGATCTCGGCTCACTGCAAGCTCCGCCTCCCGGGATCACGCCATTCTCCTGCCTCAGCCTCCCAAGTAGCTGGGACTACAGGCGCCTGCCACTACGCCCGGCTAATTTTTTGTATTTTTAGTAGAGACGGGGTTTCACCGTTTTAGCCGGGATGGTCTCGATCTCCTGACCTCGTGATCCGCCCGCCTCGGCCTCCCAAAGTGCTGGGATTACAGGCGTGAGCCACCGCGCCCGGCCTTCTCCAAATTTTAAAGAAATAATTTCAGGTGAATCAATCTATCATTTATGTATACCTGTTTTATTTATTTTTCTTCCCGTTAGATCCAGTATTTCCTGTAAGCTTTGCACTCTAATTGCATTTAGAAAATTAAGCTAAAAACATTGTAACTGAGTAATTTCTGATGTCAGATTGACAAAACTGTAAAGGCTTATGGCTTATGGTACACAGTTCTACACATCCAACAGCCTGATTGGGTTCATTGCCTAAGTCACCCTAGTTTCTTCCAAAATCATTAAAAAATACCAAGCAACCCTGCAATATAACTGAAGCTTTAAAGAGAGGAAGCCGTCCTCAATTCAGAAGCAATAAAAGGTCAGTCAGCTTCATGGCTGTCTGCTTTACAATTTTTTTAGTGACTGAAAAATATCGGCTTTCTCTCTTTTTGTCTTCCTTTTTCTTGCATACATGCCATACATAGCCTTAGATGCTACAATCTCAGCAAATAGGTTTTTATCTAAATCCATATTTTTTCAGTGTTTATAGGAAGGTAGAAATGAAAGAGTTCTGATGCTTCACTGTGCAGAAGCCACCTCTGAGCTAATTTCACAGGCAAGACCACAGCTGCTGTTCACCCACATTTGAACTGGCTCAATATATCCTGTCTATTTGGGTGGATGTTATTGACTTGCCTCATTTGTCTGTGCTAACAAGATCTTCTTGGAGAAAGAAATAGAAGAAGAGAAGTGGGGATGGAAAAAATAAGCAAAATAATAATAATAACTTGAAATTGTTACACAGATCCAGCAGGCTATTCCCCCCTGGGGCCTCTGTTTTGATTCTATTATTTTGTTACCATGAATCTGTGTGGCTTTCCTACTTCGTAAGTTACGGATTACCTTAAAGAAGAAATTCGGTTTTGCTCATGTGGACACACCCAATACCCCAGTCACCCTATTCCCCCCGCTTCAGTTGAAGTAATCTAACTTTTCTTCAAGAGCTTTCTACTCATTCCATTTTTATTAATGGTATTTTTGCTCCTGAGCACATTCTTTCATATAAGGACTGCATATTTCATCGTTTAATTTTGCTTTGCACAAAGAAAATATTAACCCAAATTAATGAAAATGACATAATGCATCTTTCACGTTTAAGGAAGTCCCCGTTGATTCAGGCAAAAGACTCACATTTTTGCGGTGAAGATTAAATTTGTCAGAGATTACTGCCTGCTCAACCATAAATCAGACTATGACAGGCACAGGCTATCAAATCCATGACATCATACTAATTCCCATTTTAAGCTGTGACTGAAACCCAGTATTTTAAAACATATTCTATAGGCTCTGATTAATTCTTGACATAGAATCAAAATTCAATCAATCATTTTACCTACACTGTCTTTTTAAAAAATTTGATATGAATGATTTTTCTATTTACTATATTACACATACACACACATATGTTACAAACACAAACACAATAATGACCACATTTGTGTCACCTAGATGTTAGCTAGAATGACCTGCCCTTTAAGATATACATGATATTGATTACAGCGCATATAGAAGAGATTGATTACATGTTACCTTTCATAAGTTATGAGAAAGGTCTGTGTATTTCCTAAGAACTCTGCAAACTCCTAGAAAAGTTAGGATTTAGTGGCCACCTCTGTTTTGGCAAATTTGTTCTATTTGACCATTTTCCCGCTCTACACATACAGTGCTGCCCATGCAGAAGTCATTCGTGGACAGCTCGGTTCTTCCTTTCCCATTCCTAAGTGTCGGAGACCCAGAGCTCTCCTTCTGACACCTTCCCTCCTCCACCTTCCTTTAATCCCTTGGTGACCTTATCTAGTACATGTCCTTAAATATCATCCACGGACTAATGCATTGGTTTTGTATGCTGCTGTCACAGATTGCCACAAACTTGGTGGCTTAAACCAACAGAAACGTATCCCCTTACAGTTATGGAGCCCAGAAGTCCAAAGTCAGTATCATTGGGCTGAAATCGAGGTGTCAGTAGGGCTGCCCTCTCTAAGGAAGCACTAGGGAAGAAGCTGTTGCTTTTTCATTCAGCTTCTGGGGTCATCAGCATTCCTTGGCTTCTGGCTGCATCACTGCAAGCTCTGCCTCTGGGGTCACGTTGCCTTCTCCTCTTCCGTGAGTGAGAACCTTCCTCTGCCTCTTATAAGGACACTGGTGATGGACTTTAGTGTCTCCCAAAATAATCCCAGATAATCTCTTCATCTCAAGATCCTTAATTTATTCACATCTGCAGAAACACTATTTTTCCTAGAAAGTAACATTTACTGGCTCCAGGGTTTAAGACCTGCTAGTTCTAGGGAGAAGGCATGTATCTTACTAGAGCTGATAACTCAGAAATACATACCTACAACCTCATGTCTCAACACTCAAATTAAACAAAGCCATAGTCCCTCTGGTCTCTTGTGACACTTCTCTGATCTCGTTCCCCACCATCCATCCACATGTTCCCATGTCTAAGCAGGCTGAATTCTCTGCTGCTCTATTCTCAGGGACTTAGAATTTGCTTCCTTATTCAGTTCTATGCTCGAATGTCACTCTCACTGAGAAGTTGTCCTAATGACCTCATCTCCCTCTCTGTCTCCCTCCCCGTCTCTGTCTTTTCCTCTTCTTCTCCCTCGTCCCCTCACTTCTCCCATCATTATTCCCCATTCCTTATGTACCTCCTCTTTGTACAAAATCACTTCCATCTCTAAGAAGAAACAACACACAAAATATGCGAAAGAGGCATGTGACCCTGATCAGGACAATAGAATAGTTATCTCCGTCTTATTAATAATCCAATCACCATACAACATTTTATGCAGCCATAAAGGTAAAATACGTATTACAAAAACAAGCCACAGGTAATCATTATGAGAAATAATACAGTTTTTCCTAGTCTCTTTTTAAATATTTCTGCACTAAAAGAGTTAGCCCTAGACACAACTGAAGTAGATTAAAAAAAAAAAATAAGTGTGCTTTAGGTACCTAGTCTCACCCTTTGCTGAGTTCTTTCTTCATCCCTTCTCCCATACCTCAAGCCTCCTGCTAAGAAACTTTCTTAATTAAATACCCCTTTCTTTAAAAAAAATAAATAAATAAACACAAGAAACTTACGAAAATAGCAGTTCCAGCTACATAATTTGCAAGGTCTGGTGCAAATCGCATATGTGGGTCCCTTGTTAAGAGTCTCAAGAATTTCAAGATGGTGGCAGCGGAGCATTAAACCAACTGCCAAAGCCTCCTAAGCAAGGCCCTATGGGACTGTGCAGGTCACAGGGCCATGAAGTCAGGCCTAGACAATATGCTGTTTCATGAATATTCCTTAAGTATTACCTTTTTGTGTTACTTTGTGTTTTTTAACTTTTTATTTTGAAATAATTATAGATTCATAAAAACTTAGAACATTAGGGCAGAGAGATCTCCCTCTCATCTTTACCTTATTTGTTTTTTCACTAGGATTTGTTTTTAGGGGCATAGCCCAGGGAATAATTATTCTTCCTGTTGAGTTTGAGGCACCTGAAATCTGGTGAACTGATTCTAGTTCCCAGGACACATTGGGCTCTAGAGGCCTTCCTTGACCAACACAGTGAGTGGTGCTCTTTCCTTGTGCTTCTAGAATATCTTGATCTTACTTTTTCAAAGCGTATGTCAGACAGCACCCCAACTGCCTGCAGGCTTCTCTCTCATCACCCATAAATCACCTGTAAGAGGCGAGAGACCATGTCTGTTCTAAGACAATTCCAAGACTCTGGCTCTGGCAAGTGCTTGGCACATAACAGATGCTCAATAAACACGTGCAGCCGCAAGCCAGCAAATAACCCAACTAGCTGGCTATTTTGAGAGGCCCAGTGATGACCAAATTCATGGCGTTTACTAAGATTCTTGTTTTATTGCAGCCCAGTTTTGTAGGCATCCTTTATATGCAGTCTGTAAATGTTAGATTGAATTTATGTTATTAGCTTGTAATTCACAAATGAAAAGTAGGATGATGTGGCAGCTGTTCAGGAATTTGGATGGTGCAGGGGGCTTTATTGTAAATATCAAGTTGGGCCTTAGTTGCAAAGCTTGTATGGCCTCTTCCCTCAGAAGACTGCTGTAATGATTTTTAGCACAGACGGAGGCAGATTTAATAATAATAGAAGAAGATTGGTGATTTTTTGAGGTTTATCAGTCATCCTAATGCCTGAACAGGAAAGAAGATTGCATCATATAAAGTAGGTTAACTTTCTCTAATTGTAAGAGATAAATAAATAAAGATTCAGATGAGCTATTTTTATTGTTTCTCAAGGTGAATTTATAACCCTTATCTACTTATCATCCAAAATAGACCCCTGTCATCTCACTTTTGCACAAGGCCCAGGAGATCAAGAGCACCTGGAACAGGTATTCCCTGACTGACTGGGCACCACTCAAAGCAAAGAGAAAAATCACAATTCCCGTTGCTATAGGGAGTCACCGAGGTCTTTTGTCTCTAGGTCAGTGCTGTTTTGCATAATCATGCGGCTATCCTTATATTACTCCAAGCAGGGCAAATCTGGGTTTTAAAGAGTTGATTGTTGCTTTATCTTTTTAGAGCTATTCATTTTTAAAACCCAGAGCAAGACCCTGTAGTTACAAACTTAAGTGAATCAGACAATTCGATAAATATACACACAAAGAACAAGACCCACTGGGAATGAAAACGGCTGCATTTTCTAACACTGTAATTTATAACTTGCATAGCTACGAAAGGGGCAGTGGATCCTAAATTATCCTTTTAAAAAAAAAATCATAGTGCATAAAGTCATCTTTTACACAGAGAAGCCAGTGAGTGGCTGATGTTATTTCTTCCTAGATAAGGAATGGTTTCTGAAGATTCCCCATGACCTGCCACCCCTCATACTGATTTGGGTATTGTCGGTTGTTTGGTTAAGGGCTGTTGCCACTCCCAGTCACTTGTGGCTCTTCATTCTTGCTGCACGATCAGCGTGATGCTATTGTGGGTACCGAGCCACCCTATGGGTGATTGCTGGGTACAAGCACTGCCCGTCCGCTTGGGTTGCCTCCCAGTTAATGACAGCTACTCTGCACTTCTGAGACTGCCTCAAAGTGTCCTTGAAGGACTCCGTTTCCTGCTACATTTCCCAGTCACGGTGCTCATGCAGGTAGGTGGCCACCTCACAGAGGCACATGACTCACCAATGGAATATTTTCTCATTTTGAATATTGGGTCATATATTTGCCTCATGTTCTTTGTATAGTTTGGGGTTGGTAAGTACAGAGAGTTTCTAGTTTACAATGGGGCTGTGTTTCAAAGTTAATTTGGAAATCTGTTGGAACTTGGGCAAAATATTCTCTCAGAAACAAGGCAAAAAACACTGGTTAAGTCCTTAAGTCAGCATATCAAAAAATCAGGTAGTAGAACTATAATATGACAGGTGTACAATGAAAAAATATATGCTGACACAGATACAGATGTCTTTCTAGCTACATGTGATAAATTCTGGGTCTCAGCCTACATAACCCTATTAATGACAGCCAGAGGAGAGAGTCTGCAAGGGTGGAGCTAAAATTCCAGTCCACAGGCCTATAAGCCCATGGAGGCTGTAGGCAAAAATCTAGTGATTTTGAGACAATCAAAATCATTTGGGGAAATAAGATCCACAAGGCAGCACCCCAGCTACTTGTTGAAATCACCACAACCAGGCAGGAAATTCAAGTTGGCATCAACAGCACTAAGTCATGTTGATAGAATGTATCCTCAGTTCACTCTGATAGCACTGTATCTTTGGTCTTCCAAACCCATAGCCCAGTCTAATCATGAGAACATCAGACAAATCCAAATTGATGAACATTCTACAAAATAGCTGACCAGTACTCTCAAAACCTTGACAGGTCGCCCAAAGAAAATAAAGTATCATATGGAACCAAAAAAGAGCCCACATTGCCAAGACAATCCTAAGCCAAAAGAACAAAGCTGGAGGCATCACGCTACCTGACTTCAAAGTATACTACAAGGCTACAGTAACCAAAACAGCATGGTACTCGTACCAAAACAGAGATATAGACCAATGGAACAGAACAGAGCCCTCAGAAATAACACCACACATCCACAACCATCTGATCTTTGACAAACCTGACAAAAACAAGAAATGGGGAAAGGATTCCCTATTTAATAAATGGTGCTGGGAAAACTAGCTAGCCATATGTAGAAAGCTGAAACTGGATCCCTCCCTTACACCTTATACAAAAATTAATTCAAGATGGATTAAAGACTTTAAATATTAGACCTAAAACCATAAAAACCCTAGAAGAAAACCTAGGCAATACCATTCAGGACATAGGCATGGGCAAGGACTTCATGTCCAAAACACCAAAAGCAATGGCAACAAAAGCCAAAATTGACAAATGGGATCTAATTAAACTAAAGAGCTTCTGCACAGCAAAAGAAAAACTACCATCAGAGTGAACAGGCAACCTACAGAAAGGGAGAAAATTTTTGCAATCTACTCATCTGACAAAGGGCTAATATCCAGAAGCTACAATGAGCTCAAATAAATTTACAAGAAAAAAACAACCCCATCAAAAAGTGGGCAAAGGATATGAACAGACACTTCTCAAAAGATGACATTTACGCAGCCAAAAGACACATGAAAAAATGCTCATCATCACTGGCCATCAGAGAAATGCAAATCGAAAACAACAGTGAGATACCATCTCATGCCAGTTAGAATGGCGATCATTAAAAAGTCAGGAAACAACAGATGCTGGAGAGGATGTGGAGAAATAGGAACACTTACACTGTTGGTGGGACTGTAAACTAGTTCAACCATTGTGGAAGACAGTGTGGCGATTCCTCAGGGATCTAGAACTAGAAATACCATTTGACCCAGCCATCCTATTACTGGGTATACACCCAAAGAATTATAAATCATGCTGCTATAAAGACACATGCACATGTATGTTTACTGCGGCACTATTCACAATAGCAAGGACTTGGAACCAACCCAAATGTCCATCAATGATAGACTGGATTAAGAAAATGTGGCACATATACACCATGGAATACTACACAGCCATAAAAAAGGATGAGTTCATGTCCTTTGTAGGGACATGGATGAAGCTGGAAACCATCATTCTCAGCAAACTATCACAAGGACAAAAAACCAAACACCGCATGTTCTCACTCATAGGTGGGAATTGCACAATGAGAACACTTGGACACAGGAAGGGGAACATCACATACCGGGACCTGTTGTGGGGTGGGGGGAGCGGGGAGGGAAAGCATTAGGAGATATACCTAATGTAAAGGATGAGTTAATGGGTGCAGCACACCAACATGGCACGTGTATACATATGTAACAAACCTGCACGCTGTGCACATGTACCCTAGAACTTAAAGTATTATAATTTAAAAAAAAAGAAAAGAAAAGAAAGTCTGAGAAACGTGTTTCTTGTAGACAAAATATAGTGGAGTCTTTTTATTCTTTTTATATACTCAAACAATGTCTCTCTTTGTGTTAGTATGTTAAACCATTCACATTTCAAATAATTATTGGTATGGATAAATTAATATCTATCATGTTCATAATTTTTCTGTTCACTTATTCTTTTTTTCATCTTTTTATTTACTTTCTCTAATTTTCATCAGGCATTTTATGATTACATTTTATTTCCTCTGTAGCATATCAGTTACACTTTTAAAAATTTTATTGAGTAGTTGCCCTAGAGTTTACAATACGTATTTTTTAACTAATCCAAGTTGACTTTCAAACAACACTATACCACATTCTGTGCAATGCAGGGACCTTATAATAGTATTCCCAATTCCTCCCTTCCATCATTTGTGACACTTTGGCCATTCATTTCCCTTATACCTATGCTATAATCATCCAATACATTGTTAACTATTACTACTTTAAACAAACAGTTATCTTTTAAATCAATTAAGAATAAGAAAAATTTTTAGAAATTATTTTACCTTCATGTATTCCTTCTCCAACATCCTTCCTTTCTTTATAGTTCTTCCTGAATAACTAACTTCTTTTAACATTTCTGCTAAGCAGTTCTGCTGGCAATGAATTCTCTCAGTTTTCATTTGTCTGGCAATGTCTTTTTTTTTTCCTCTTTCACTTTTGAAGAATATTTTCACTGGATATAGACTTCTAAATTGATGTTTTGTTTCTCTCAAGAGTTTGATTATTTTACTCCCCTTTCTTCATTCTTTGGCAGTTTCTGACTAGAAGTCTGCTGTAATTCATATTTTTGTTCCACTATAGGTAAGGTATTTTTTCCTTCTGGCAAAATTCTCTTTGTTGCTTGTTTTTTGCAGATTGAATATTATATACCCAGAGGTAAGTTTGGTGAGGGTGGATTGGTTGTTTGCTTTTTAGGGGATGCTATTTACCCTGCTTTGTGTTCTCTTAACTTTCTAAATCTGTGGTTTGGTGTTTGTCATCAATTTTGCAAAATTCTTGACCATTATTATTTAAAATATTTTCTCCCTGTGTTCTCTTTGTTTTCCTTCTAGATTCCAATTATGCATCTGATATACCTTTTGAAATTGTCTTGCAGTTCTTGGATGCCTGTTCTGATTTTTTACTCTTTTCTTCTCTTTAAATTTCATTTTTGGAAATTTATATTAGCCTGTGTCAGATCCTGGGGTTCAGCTCCAGCCCATGCTAAAGTCTGAGAGGAGTGGCTGGATGGGCAGAAAGAACACTTGGGAGACCATAGGCAGGTGAATATGGTTTCATTCAGCAGCAGCTCTCTTACACAGCTTTCTCAAATTAGCTTTCCATGAGCAGTTTTCTTATACTGTCTACCTTTATCTCGGCTATTATCTTGGCTCCTGCCATTCCCATACCTGAAGCTGCATGGCCAACTCTCCCCTGCCTCCAGGGCCAGCAGCTTAGCTCTTTCTCTGGCCATGAGCAAGCTGAGCTTGTCCTGTCTCCCTCCTGTCCATCTGCAAAATGGACAGCTTTGGCTCTCTATCTTTCTCTGGGCGCCAACATGCCTGCCATGTCAAGCCATGTTGAGTCGAGCCAAGCCAAGCCCCAAGAGCCAAGCCCCATGCACAGCGTCAGCAGGACAGTTATACATTTTACAGACAACAGTGGCTCCAGGCCAAGGGATGGCCTTCTCATGTTATGGCTGCATGGCTATGATAACAGGTGGAGTTATACACCTGCGCTCTAAACTCGCTGAGTCATGCAGGCCTGGATATCCACCTCAGCCTATTCCTTGACTAAAAAGTGCCTCACACCCTGTCATCAAGCTCACTGATTCTTTCACTGGGCTGTCCACTGTCTATTCATTAAAATGCACCATTAGGTGCATTTTTTTATTTCTGTTAGTTTTTTTCCCCCTATAATTTCATTTTGATTCTTTCTTATAGTTTCCATCTCTCTGCTTGTATTATCCATCTGTTCTTGCGTGCTGTTTACTTTTTCCATTAGAGTTCCTATTAATTACAGTTATTTTTAATTCCCTGTCTGATAATTCAAATATCTGTGTAATATCTGAGTTTAGTTCTGATATTTGCCTTATCTCTTCAGCCTTTTAGCTTCCTTGTAATTTCTGTTGAAAACCATAAACAATTTGTTGAATAGAAATGGGGGTAAATAGGCCTTTAGTGTGAGATTTTATGTTAACTGGCTAGGAGCTAGGGCTGTGTTGTTTGCTGTAGTTATAGATGCCATGGCTTCAAATTAGTGTCCTTGTTTTTGTCTAACCTGTTGACTTTGGTCTAACCTAAGTACTCCTCTTCAGAGAAAATCTGCACCTTTGACCGGTTTCAGCCATAATCCACTGGGATTATAGTACTGTTCTATTGATGTGATGGGGAAAGGGAGGGGCTCTATAATCTTCTGACTAAGTCTCAATCTTTTAGTGGGCCTGTTTCCCTGGGTTATGACCTTCACAAGTGTTCTCCACCCACTCTATCCCTTTTAGATAAAATAGGAAGGCTAAATGGGGTTGGAGTGGAAGAAATTCTCTTCCTCCAAGTAGTATAAGGCTCTTATAAAACCCTCCTCCAGTAGGTTTTTGATACAGAGAATGCCCCAAGCGCATTTCAGGATGATTACTCTTCCCTTCCTTTGCAAGAACAAGGAGGAAATCTTTCTCTGCTCCTCACCTGGTGAAGCTTGTGAAGAATTTGTGAAAGCCTCCCACCCAAAACTGCAGCCCCAGGAGTGTCTCACTTTCATGCCAGCAATTCATCAAAATTACTATTGAAGCATTTGTCTCAGTCTATTTGTGCTACTATAATAGAATACCTAAGTCTGGGTAACTTACAAGAAACAGATGTATTTCTTACAGTTCTGGAGGCTGGAAAGTTCAAGGTCAAGGGGGTCCACATCTCGTGGGGGCCTTCTTGTTGCATTATTTCATAGTGGAAGGCATATGGGCAGGAGAGTGTGCAAGACAGAGAGAAAGACAAGAGAGGGCTGAACTCACTTTTATAATAAACCCACTCTCATGATAATGAACCCATTCCCAAGATACTGACATTAATTCATTCTTGAGGGCAGAGCCCTCATGATTTAATCACCTTTTAAAGGTCCTACCTTTTAACACTGTGGCATTGGGTAGTGAGTTTTCAACACATAAACTTTGGGGGACACATTCAAATCATAGCAGCATTCCTGACATTTATGGGCTCCAAGTGCTTCTGCTTCAGGTAAGTGGATCTTAGCTGCAACTCACTGGATTTGCCTGTCTCTCCAGATTTCAGGGTGATGGTTTGCCCTGTAACCTCGAGAAAGTCATTGACTTTTGGTTTATTCAGATTTTGCTTGTTGTTAAGATTGGAGTGGTATTATCCAAGCTCTTTCCATGTTGGAGCTGAAACCATAAGCTTGCATCAGTTGCTTTTAAAATCTCTCCAGATGATTCTAATATGCAGCCAGAGTTCAAAACCACTAGAAGAAAGTGAAGAAACTTTGAACGCACCTTGTTTTGAATCCCTGCTCTGACTTTCAGCACCTGTGACAGTGAGCAACTATGAACAAATTATTACTCTTTCTGAAACTCAGTTTCTACATCTGTCAAATGGGATACTTCCTACTTTACAGCATTCTTGTAAGAATTAGCAACAATGTAATAGGCATAATATTGCCATATACTAGCTTCTCATTCCTTTTGTTACAACTAGCATTTATTGAACACTTATTTAACATTGAGTATGTTCAAACAGTAAATCTATATTGGCTCATTTTCTCTACATAAATCTCACTGAGAAAAAGTCTAATTCTTTGTAGGTGAAGAAACTGAGGCATAGAGAAATTCATTAACTTGCCCTGGGTTACACAGGAAGTAAATGGTAGAACTGGCATTTGAATTCCAGTAATGTGACTCCATAACCTCTACCCATCTTCTACACTCTGCTCCCTGGAAAAGATATCCACAGTGTGTTTAGAAGGCAGTGGCTAAGTTAATTTGTGTTGAGTAAAGATGGAGAAAAACTGACACATATTCACAATAAATTAAATCAAATAATACTGAACATATTCCTAGAAGTAATATTTGTATCTATATAAAAGCATAGTTGTTTAAAAACCTGTGCAGATAAGAATTTTAGCCACTAAAATGAATTAACCTTCAATTGGAAAACTTTTTTGTACTTGGGTCTTTCCCAGTAAATTCAAGTTGAGATCCAGCGTTCTGTGCAGTTGTTATTATATAATAGTATTTGTTTATTAGAATAAATTATAAATGTTAAATTTGCTTAAAATATTCTGAATTTGATAAAATTCCTTTATATAACACCATTTAACCTGCATACCTGGTTTGTGTACATTAATTAAGGAAAAATATTTTAATTCAATCAGCCATTTTTCCCATATGAAACCAATAAATCATTTTGAATTACCTTCTTAAATGCTTGAACCATGAAGCTATATAGCAAAAGAAAAATGTTGTAACTTAATAAGGCTAATGAGTAATTCTTTTTTTAACTATATATTTTAAAAATCTACTACACCAGATAATTATTTATACCTATAATTTCAATATTAGCATATGGCAACACATTATTTGCTGCTTATATAACAGAATCATAATCATCAATTCATTTTTATAACAGTTTTATTGAGATAACTCATCGTTATTAGAGCACTCTCTAACAGAATTCGAAACTCAAGACTAAAAGTTCAGGAACTATCTTAAATGCAAAAATTGATTTTTTTAAATATTCTGAACTGAAAGCTATCTGGCAGTACAGCCAATTCTGAAAACAAAAATCCCCTTGCAGTAGCCATTTATGTTTTATTCGCTATTCTGCTGCAAATCATGTTAAAGCAGATGCCTGATTAGATGGCGAGATTTCTATATGTTTGGATTATGACAAATACATAAAACTCACATAGATTTCAAAAGCACTCTGAATAATTACTTAAAATCAAAATGCTCTATGTGCATAATGGAATAATATTCTACTAATAGAATCTTTTGTTGCTTCCTGCTTAGGGAATTCCAAAAAGCTTTCCTATACCCCAAACATGATCAAGTTCTTTCAATGAGACCTAAGATACAATCTGTTCAGATGCCTTCATTGTATGAAAGTCATCACTGTAAAATGTATGGCTCCATCATAACCTAATACAACACAGTGATTTGCAATATGGTGATTACCACTGTGATTTGATTCATTAATTCTCAGTAACAGTTGTTAATGAGCTCATTAAGCAAGTATTGTACAGAAGATTTCAACCAGGGGAACCTCTTAAAAACCACTAAATATCTTCTTTTGCAGGGGGGAGGAAAAAGGAAATAGGTTAAATGCCAGAGGAGAAGTCTATAAATATGGCTGTTTATCAACTATGGCAAAGTTTTAAATCATTAAGCTTTTATAAAACTATATAAATTCTGAGCATTTTGTGCCATTTCCAAAAAAGGTGCTCACAGTGAGATGACTCCTCTCCTTGGGCCTTCCTGGATTTAGCAACTATTTTGTTAAGATGTAGAAACAAACTCTAGGCCTGGCGTGGTGGCTCCCTCCTGTAATCCCAGCACTTTGAGAGGCTAAGGCAGGTGGATCACCTGGGGTCAGGAGTTCAAGACCAGCCTGACCAACATGGTGAAACCCCATCTCTACTAAAAATACAAAAATTAACTGAGTGTCATGGCGTGTGCCTGTAATCCCAGCTATTCAGGAGGCTAAGACAGGAGAATTGCTTGAACCTAGGAGGCAGAGGTTGCAGTGAGCCGAGATCGCACCACCATACTTCAGCCCAGACGACAGAGGGAGACTCCATCTCAAAAAAAAAAAAAAAAGAGAGAAACGAACTGTAACCCTGCATCTCACATTTCACCAATAGGTTGATTCTTTTTCTTGCTTCTATAACATATAATTCAATAATGTGTTCAAGTATTTGAAATATTGAGGGTTACGTTTAAATTTAATTTGGGTATTGCATTAGTTGACTTTAAGCAACGTATTTTATCTTGAAGTATGTGATCTGTAAATGTCTATGAGTGATAAGCAAGTTAAAGTGCTTTAACTAACAGTAACAAAAATGTATGACTTACTTCCCAGTTTACAAAGAAATTTTATATGCATGACTTTAATCCTTACAAAACCTGGAAGAATGTTACCATTAGCCCAAATTTACGCACAAGAAACCTGAAGCTCTAGTTAAGTGACTTGCCTAATTGAAAAGTTTGTATGTTCAGTTCTTAGAACCACAAACTTTATGTTCTTTCTACTAAAACACACTGATTTTCTCAGTAACTAATCAGAAGCTGGCAGCCTCACCGTGGAAATATGCCTTGCTTTTATTAAAGGAAAAATTATTGGTGACACTTATTAAAGATGGTAAGGAAGACTTCATCCAAGAAGGACTACCACAATGGGGCTTTGTATTATAGAAGGAGAGAGAGACTGGGCTCAGGTCCAAAAACAATAAGGAAAAGTGGGGATTTATAGCCAAGGAGCAGGGTAGGGTATCAGAGGATGGAAAATTACTAAGAGGAAGGGCAATTGTATTAAAGTGACCTCACAGGATTTTTGCTGAAGGCAGGCCTGGGTGATTCAGTATCAAGGGTGGTCAGACTGAGGGTAGGGGATTTTTGCTAAACTGACTCAGCAGGCTTCTTGCTAAAACTGGAATAACTGGACCAAGGGCAGAGCCCAAGATTAGAGCCTTGTCAGAAAGAGGACTGAGAGGGGCCCAGTCTGAGTTAAGTCAAAGAGAAAGAAACTCCATGCTCCTTCTACTAAAACACATCAATTTTCTTAGTAACTGATCAGAAGCTAGCAGGCCTCCCATCGTGATGTGTCTTATCATCCATAACCCAGAAGAAGGAGGCTTTAAGCATAAGGGTAAGAGAGATCTAGTTAATGCTCAGGAATGAAGTGATATAAAATCAAACTTCAAGAAAAGCTTCCATGCAGTGTTATTTATGTTTGGAAGCACAACCATGACCAAAACCTTCGAACACACCATAAGTCATTTATCTCAAGTCCAAGGAAACTAAATGATAGATCAGACTCATTGAATTAGAGCCAATCAAGTATGTGACTTGAAATTACTCCAATAAAATCCTAATACCAGCATCTTCTACCATTCTAGGTGCAATGTCTCATGAAGTTTGACAAGCACTTCATGTGCTTTCCTTCCACAATAAGACAGTTTCTCCTAATCGCTTGCCCATGCATACATTCAATGCATGCTTCACGATTCACATGGCCACTTCCATTTCTTCAGTGGCCTAAGGACAGACACTAAAAATAAGCGCATGATTTGTAAGAAAAACAGATATTGATGAATTCCAAATAACCTTATCCAACTTATATAAACCAGCTCAAGTAGGCATTTTACTAATTTAATTTTAGTTTCCCAGGTATTAATTGGATTGATCAGTATTCATTCAGATTTGTCACTGGTTGTGCCTGCTGCGTATTGGTTCTGCTTTTTGTCAGCCTATTAATTTTCAATAAATAATGTCTCAGAAATTGCAGATGAGTAAATTAAAGTGTTAATTGGTAATGTTGTAATGTGTAATATTTCTTTAATGTTTTTTAAACAAAATAGACCACTATCACATTTATGAAATTTATTTATACTCAGTTTTTTAAAAGAATTTCAGACTGCCTATACAAGGTCAAACTTTTTATGTTTATAAAATGGAAATAGGGACAACATTGTTGGAAAAGTTAGCTTATTAATCTTGATAAGAATTGTGTTTCTACGATCTCTGCTTTTGAAATTATGGTGTGTCTAACACTGTCCTAAAATACAACTTGCAAGGAATAATAAAGCCAAGGCTAAATTTGTGTATTGTCAAATTTCTCAAAGGAAGAAAAGTTATTGTTAAAATTTCTTAAGTGGCTCCTGAGTACCTCCTTTTGTATTTCCTTAGTCCATCTGCTCTGCTGTCGTTCTTTTATTACAGGTTATACTTTGTCCTCTATTTTATAGGTATCATTGTTCCCTTTCACTCTTGACCAGACCAAAAGCTAATATCACATACAGTGTACTTTGGGAAATTCTGCCTTCGAGGAATAGCCCACCAAGTATAAAGAAAAATATATTTTGCCCTGGGTATGGTGGCTCATGTCTGTAATCCCAGCACTATGAGAGGCTGAGGTGAGCAGATTGCTTGAGGCCAGGAGTTCAAGACCAGCCTGGGCAACATAGAAAAACCCCATCTCTACAAAACATTCAAAAAATTAGCCAGACATGGTGGTGAGCGCCTGTAGTCCCAGCCACTGGGGAGGTGGAGGCAGGAGGATCATTTGAGCCCGTGAGGTCAAGGCTACAGTAAGCCATGATCACACCACTGGACTCCAGCCTGGAAGACAGAGTGAGACCCTGTCTCAGAAAAATATACTTTGCATTGAGACCCTCTCCTGGCACATTCCAGAATCTGTGTTTCTTTGGCAAGCAAAGAAACAGTTGATAGTTACCAGGAAGTGCAGTCCCACCTGTTTGTCATATCTAGAAAGATGCTATCCTGTGACCTATCCAGCTAGTATTATAGACTTAGATCATATAATTATGTATTTATTCCAGTTATTTGAATAATACAATTAAAACTTGCAAAGCAGTTTCACTTGAGATGACAAAGAGCACAACTTACCATTCCTTATTTATTATTGAAAAATTTCTAGACCAATCTGCCTGCAAAAGACCAGTCCAGGCTTCAACGGACAAATGGTATGTTGGCGCTAGAGATACTGAGTTAGAACTTGGGAGATATAGCCTGAGGGTCTCAGCCTTCAGCAGGGAGACAGAAAAACTCACACCACAAATGAGATTAAAAATATAGTCAACTACTCTGATGGAAATTCGGTAGAGTTGACAGGGGGAAGTGGGTTTTCATTCAGAAGGACCCTCAAAATGGGATGCATACAATTAATGGTTAATCAAAATGCTAGTAAGTTAGGGTTATTGAGGGGCTCTAGTTTAATGTAGAAGAATACTTGGGGAGTTCAGAATCAGAGACTTCTCTTGTGTAAACCCTTTTTCAAGTGGACTCCTTCAGGCTTTGGTGAAACCTGACTTATGTGGGATCAGTAACAATACTTTTCTTAATTTAAGAGAAACGAGTAAATATGACTTAAACTTATCTAGGTTATTTGGTCATTTACTGAGATGGTTATACACAGTAAAACTTCTGTCAACTAAAATCAAACCTAAACAAAACCTTTCATCATAATTCATTGTGCTTCCACTTTTAGGAAAAAATAGGTCAGTTGTAAGAAAGCAAGCTGAGATCAAAGATTGAGTTAAAAAACAACTTTTAGGATTCACACTACATTTTTCTAAATCATTAAAAAGGACTTGACTTCATACCTAATTATATTCATCCTCAGCCAACAAAGTTTCCTAACACATTTTGAATGATTTTTAGCAAGCAAAAAACAGTATTCTATTAGTGAGGACTCTCTTGGATGCAAGTCACAGAAAACCCAACCAAAATTGGCTCATGTAACTGAATCCCACATGAATCAAAACCAGCTGGATTGAACTCATCGGGACCCGCCCTCCATCTTTTGGTGCAGTGCTTGTCCATTTGACTTGACCCTCAGTCTTTGGGTTGGGACACAGTCACTGTCAGCAGACCCTTAGCCAGCTTCTCCCAGGTTCAAATACAGAGGAAAAAGTGTGTACCTCTTTATCAGCAGTGACAACAACAGCCCCAGTTACATCTGATTGTCTTTGAGTCTCTGTGTGCAAGACACTATGACTGTCTGATTGGCCAGACCTGGGACATCAAAACACTAAATGTCCTTTGTATTAGTCTGTCCTTGCATTGCAAAAAAGAAATACCTGGGACTGGGTAATTTATAAAGAAAAGAGGTTTAATTCACTCATGGTTCTGCAGGCTGTACAGCAAACATTATTCTGGTATCTGCTAGGCTTCTAGGGAGGCCTTAGGAAACTTAGAATCATCGTGGAAGGCGAAAGGGGAGCCGGCACTTCACATGGCTGGGAGCAGAGAAAGAGCGAGAGTGGGAAGGTGCTACACACTTTTAAACAACCAGATCTCATGAGAACTCTATCACAAGAATAGCACTAGGGGAATGGTGCTAAGCCACCTTCATGATCCAATCACCTCCCACCAGGCCCCACCTCCAGCACTGGAGATTACATTTCAACATGAGATATGGGTGGGGACACAGATCCAAACCTACCATCCACTGAAGTTCTTAAGGAATCATTAGGCTCCACTAGGAGCTCCTCTATTTTATAAATTTAGTTTCTTATGAATAATTTTTATCCCTGCTACTTTAGACAATACCTGGCACAAAGTAGATACCCAATAAATGCATCTTTAACTGAAGTGAACTTTTTTCATTATTTAGTAATTTAAAAAATGATAAATCTATTAGAAAAAAAGTTTGAACTTGAGTTGGCATCAGGACACCCAAATAGAAAGGAATATAAACAAGGATGACATGGGATCAAAATACTATTTCTAAAATTGTTTTCCATGGAACATTAAGTCCTTGACATGCTCTGTGAGGAAATGGATTTGGGAAATGATGATTGCCATGTGTCCCTCTTGTTGACTCACAGGGATTATCTTAAGAACCCCAAGAATCCCATGAGTAATTAAGACTGCTTTACTTTGTTATTAGTGTTTCCCAAATTTACATGTTGAAGGATTTGTCATAGAAATCATTTTGGTAGGAAATGGGCTGGAGTCTCGCAAAGCAGGACTAGAAAAATGGCTGGCTGTGTGGTTGGCTTAGGCGAGGATCCAAGAGTAGCTTCATACACACGACGAGGAAAAGTTTTCAAACGATATAAATGTTCATACAAATGAAATTGTTTAATTACTGATGAATGAAATATAGCAAAACTGTAAAAAGTATAAATATCTATATTTACTGGCATGAAGCCTGTGGCATATAGTATAATTAACACAGGTTTGAATCAAATGTCCATTGTCTCATTGCATTTTTTAATAAAAAATGAATAAGTAGATATTTTTACACAAAGAAAAACTCTCAGATTGTACAGCAAAAACCTAATGAATGGGAAGGTGTTTGCGGTTCATTTTTATTTTCTTCTTTGATCCTCTGTATTTTGGATTTGGGGAATATATGTGTGTGTTTTCTGTCCATAAGCATGTATTGCTCTTATAAAGTTGTTTTAAGTTATTTTAATTTTTCCCAAAATTACATAGTATTAAGTATTGTTAATATCTTCCCTTTCTAATTTGAACATAAGTTGATGCACTTTTAACATCATGTACAATTTCAAACTCATATGCATTTATTCTTTTCTCAAAAATAAAACTACTTCTAGGTGCTACAGAAGTCAAAAAGAAAGGCTTGTAGCTAGAGCACTTCAAAAAGTCTTCAACCAATTCATATTTCAGCTGCCTCAGTACCAGATTTCAATGAAGCACATGAATCAGAACAACTTGACATTAACATCAGTCCAATAGAGATGTCAAAAGTATAGGGTGCAATTAGGAGCTGAAAAATAACAAAGTGAAGAGATATCATCAAATCACAGCAGAGATTATAATGGCCCTTGACACTAGCCAACTAATGAAGCTGATTGAACTATTCAATGGCTTTTATTTCAGGAATGAAGAGGTGGGGGTGGAGAAGGACCTTCCTGGGTAGTGGAAAGATGGAATCATTGATAGAATACCCTCAAAGGAAGCTCTCCTCAAACTGCTGAGTTGGAATAATACTGCCACACTCTGGGGTCAGCATAAGCTTATGCTGGGCATGGTGAGGTCACAGATGCAGGAGGCAGAAAGAGTACATGTTTACATCCAGATCTGAGAAATAAGGTCAGTTCTTGATTCGCTCTTATGGAAGGCCTCAGAGACAATGGAAACTTCTTTCCCCTGTTCTCAATTTTTTTTCTTTTGTCCAATGTTATACCTGAATAAAGAAAGAATTACTTCTCAGGTATGAGTGATACAGGCACATACTGGCCTAGAAATTGTCTTGCATTCTTTCCAAGAAAAAATAAATGACAAAGCCCTGGTAGGAGACAGAATAGCAAAAGTGCATTTGGATCAGTTCTTACCCAGAACCCTGAGAGCTGTTGGATGGGCAAATGCTGAAAGAGATTTTTTCATTGATATTTTATTATGAAAATTTTCAAACATATAGTAAAATTGAAATAATACAATGAGCACGTATGTACTGATCACCTAGATTCAGCATGCGTTCTCATTATCACATATGATTTATTTATATAGATATCTAATCTCTGTCTGTTTTCCTGAACCTAAACCTTGAAAGTGGATTATAGGAATCATGACATTTCACTTCCACATCCTTCAGTCTGCATCTCCTTAAAAAAAGCACCTTTCTCTATAAAAAATGAACATTATAATACTTGATAACATTTTTAAAAACTCTAACATAATGTAATCTTCTCTACGCAAATTTCATGTTATTGATTGTTTTGCTTTCAAAATTTATTTGAGGAGGAAGGGATAGCAAAGTTTGGTTAATGGAGACAAAAGCAAAGCTAGATAAAAGGAATAAGTTGTAGTGCTCTATAGAGCTATAGAGTGACTATAATTAACAACAATTTATTGTATATTTTAAAATAGCTAAAAGACTAGACACAAAGAAATGATCAATGTTTGGGATGATATACAAATTACCAGATTTGATCATTAGACATTGTATACATGTACCAAAATATCACATCTTATCCCATAAATATGTATAGCTATTACATGTCAAATAATAACACCAAAAAAGTTTTTTAAAGCCAGTCTTTTTAGACCAGGATCCAATTAAAGTTCTCAGTCTTCATTTGGTTGTATCTCTCTGTTTTAATCTAGAAAACTCCCCTGTATTTTCTTAACCTAACGTAATTAACTTTCTGATGCATCCTGCCCAGTTGTTTTATAGATTGTTCTACATTTTTCATTTATCTTATTGTCTCTTTCCTGGTGTTTTAATTTGCTTCTTTCCATTATATTTTCTGTTATCTAGCTAAAGATTTGATTAATATCTTTATACATGTAAATATTCATATTAAATATGTTCACGGAATATTTTAGAAACAAAGTTGTGTACTTGATATCATAGCCGGAATCATAGAATATAACATTGCTCCCTACTGTTAGTGACACTAGTTTGATCACTTGAGGTATGGGTTAAGATTATTTCACTGTTAAGTATATTTTTCACTTTATAACTGGCAAGTAATCTGTGGGCCTATATCTGGGACCCATGCAACTACCTAGTTTCAATTGACATATCATTCATTGGTGACTGGCACCTAAATCAATTACTTATTAGGAGTTTTAAGAGGTGATTATCTAATTTTATCATTATTTCTCCACTAATTGCATGATAATCTTCGAAACTGAACAATAATAACAGAATCCAGAGTTTCTATAATATAGCATGCACAATGTCCAGACTATAGTTCAAAATTAGCTAACAAACAAAGAAACAGAAAATGGGACTCATACACAAGAGAAAAGGAAATCATGTAGACCAACACGGAGATGCTGGAATTAGCAGACAAGAGTTTTAAGGCAGTAATATAATTATGCTCAAGAACATAAAGAAAAATACAATCATGATAAATGAATAGGAAATACCAGATGAGGAATAGAAGCTGTTTTTTGAAAGAACCAAAAAAAGAACAAATTTGGAGGACTTTAAGTCCATTCCTGATTATTTTACTAAAAAGTTAAAATAATCAAGAGAGTGGAGTACTTACATAACAATGAACGTCTATGCCAGTGGAATAGAATTAAGTGTTCAGGAATAAACCCTTACTCTTATGGTCAATTGACTTTCAACAAATATACGAAAACAATTCAATGAAGAAGGGATAGTCTATTCAATAAATGATACTGAGGCAATTGTATATCTATATGCATGCAAACAAGAAAATATTTTAGAGCCTTACCTAATGCATTACACACAAATTAACTTAAATGGATCATATAACTAAATATGAGAGCTTATAGTCTTAGGAAAAAAAAGAGCATAATTCTTCATGACCTAGAGTTAGGCAAAATATCTTAGATATGACACCCTAATTGTAACCAATAAAAGAAAACTATTGCAAAATCACACATTAAAACTTTTGCACTTTGTCACAAGCATTCCTGTACAACAATAAGACATGCAGAGAGCCAAATCGCGAATGGAATCCCATTCACAATTGCTACAAAGAGAGTAAAATACCTAGGAATACAGCTAACAAGGGATGTGAAGGACCTCTTCAAGGAGAACTACAAACCACTGCTCAAGGAAATGAGAGATTACAAACAAATGGACCATCCTCATGGATAGGAAGAATTGGCATTGTGAAAATGGCAATCCTGTTCAAAGTAATTTGTAGATTCAGTGCTATTCCCATCAAACTACCATTGACATTCTTCATAGAATTAGAAAAAAATACTTTCAATTTCGTATGGAACCAAAAAAGAGCCTGTATAGCCAAGACAATGCTAAGCAAAAAGAACAAAGCTGGAGGCACCACACTACCTGACTTCAAACTATATTACAAGGCCACAGTAAGCAAAACAGCATGCTACTGGTACCAAAACAGACACATAGACCAATGGAACAGAACAGAGACCTCAGAAATAACACCACACATCTACAAACATCTGATCTTCGGCAAACCTGACAAAAACAAGCAATAGGGAAAGGATTCCCTTTTTAATCAATGGTGCTGGGAAAACTGGCAAGCCATATGCAGAAAACACAGACTGGACCCCTTCCTTAGATCTTATACAACAATTAACTCAAGATGGATTAAAGACTTAAATATAAAATCCAAAACCATAAAAACCCTAGAATAAAACCTAGGCAATACCATTCAGGACATAGGCACAGTCAAAGACTTCATGACGAAAATGCCAAAAGCAATTGCAACAAAACCAAAATTGACAAATGGGATCTAATTAAACTAAAGAGCTTCTGCACAGCAAAAAAATAACTATCATCAGAGAACAGGCAGCATATAGAATGGGAGGAAAATTTTTGCAATCTACCCATCTGACAAAGGTCTAATATCCAGAATCCACAAGGAACTTAAACAAATTTACAAGAAAAAAACAAACAATGCCATCAAAAAGTGGGCAAAGGATATAAACAGATACTTTTCAAAGGAGGACATTTATGCAGCCAACAAACATAAAAAAAGCTCAACATCACTGATCATTAAATAAATGCAAATCAAAAGCATATTGAGATACCATCTTATGCTAGTCAGTATGGTGATTATTAAAAAGTCAAGAAACAACAGATGCTGGTGAGGCTGTGGAGAAATAGGAAGGCTTTTACACTATTTGTGGGAATGTAAATTAGTGGAAGACAGTGTGGTGATTCCTCAAAGATCTAGAACCAGAAATACCATTTGACCCAGCAATCCCATTATTGGGTATGTACCCAAAGGAATATAAATCATTCTACTATAAAGACACATGCATACATATCTTTATTGCAGTGCTATTTACAATAGCAAAGACTTGGAACCAACCAAAATACCCATCAATGATAGACTGGATAAAGAAAATTTGGTACATATACACCATGGAATACTATGCAGCCATAAAAAGGAATCAGATCATGTCCTTTGCAGGGACATGGATGAAGCTGAAAGCCATCATCCTCAGCAAACTAACATAGGAACAGAAAACCAAACACTGCATATTCTCACTCATAAGTGGGAGTTGAACAATGAGAACACATGGACACAGGGAGGGGAACAACACACAGCGGGGCCAGTCAGGAGTAGGGGGCGAGGGGAAGGAGAGCATTAGGAGAAATAGCCAGTGCATGCGGGGCTTAAAACCTAGATGATGGGTTGATAGGTGCAGCAAACCACCATGGCACAGGTATACCTATGTAACAAACCTACCCATTCTGTACTTGTATCCTGGAACTTAAAGTAAAATAAAAACAAAAAAAAGATTGCACTTTAAAAAGTACTATTAAGAAAGAAAAGAAAGCCACAGACTGGGAGAAATATTTGCAAACTATATATCTGAGAAGAGACTTGTATCCAGAATATATAAATAACTCTTATACTTCAATAATAAGACAAATAACCCAACTTAAAATTGGCTAAAAATAAAACATTTAGAATAGAAATTTAACAAAAAAAGTTATATGGATGACCAAAAGCACACCAAAAGATGCTCAATATCATTTGTTATTAGGAAAATGCAATCTAAAGCCACAAAGAAATACCACTTTACATCCACAATGGTGGGGCAAGTAGAGGAGAGGCTGTCAACCCAAAATTGTATGCCCCAAAAAGTCCTTTATGAATGAAAGAAAAATAAAGACATTTTAAGATAAATTAGGATTAGGAGAACTCATCAGTGACAGCCTGAACTATAAACAAATGGAAAATAAAGTTACTCAGGCTGAAGTGAAAGGAAGGAAAGTTACATTTTGGGGGAAAAAAAAGAGTGCTAGAAAGGATAAACCTATGAGTAAATATTAATTCCAACTTTTCCTCTTAATCTCTTTAAAATATATATGACTTACTTAAAAACTTTATCATTGAATTATGATATTCATGCATAAATGTAATAAATGTGAAACAATCTAACAAAAAGGATAGTGACGGGATAAATGAATTTATGCATTTCCAAGTTTCACACATCTGACATGAAGTACTGCAATATTGACTCTAAAGGTCTGTGAAAAGTTAAGAATGTTTATTGTAATCTCTACAGCAAAAACTAAAAATAATCAAAAGAGGTATAGCCTTTTTAAAAGCTATCTGACAAATTAAAGTTCTAAAAAGCACTTATTTAATCCCAAAGATATCAAGAAAGGAACAAAAGAATAACAAAAAGTATATAGGAAAGCAAAAACAAATAGTAAGATGGTAGCCATAAATTCAAGCACATCTATTATATGTAATGTTAAATGACAGATTAGTTTTGAAGGAATAGCCATTATAGTTGAATTTCTTTCATGCTTCATTCTGAAGTTTGACTTGTGCTTCCTTTGCTTTTTTTCTGCTTATCCACCACATGAAAGCTGACCAGGTGTGCTGGTTGACCAAGCAGCTGTGTAACTGCATGCAGGCCTGAGAAGCAGCCATGTGGGAAACCCCCAGCAGACACACAGACATGCTAGTGAAGAAGCCATGTAGCCAGGTCCCAGGCCTGAGTAATAGTCCTGCCACTTCCCTGGCACCACTACCCAGCAGACGTGCCCCCAGATCTGCTGAGAGACTGTATGCTGGAATTCTGGGCCCAAGAAACAGCCCAGAGCAGGCTGCTCCTGACAAGCACAGCCCCAGGATGGCCAATTAACTGCATGCTCATGCTCCTGGCCATAGTAATAGACCTATCCTCTTAATCCTAACCTCAAGTTGGCAGACTCATGATGTGCATGCACATGCCCCCAACCTTTAAAACTGCCTAGAAAGCCCAACTCCAGCAAAGCTGCACCAAACTGTCTCAGCCTACACCACTGGATCACTCACAAACATCACTAACATGAATTATAGCTAAAGAAACTACACAAAGACAACGCTATTGCATTCACCTACAGCCAAACCCAACATAGCCCATCAAACTGACATCCAAGATCTATTCATACAAGTAAATCTTTTCCTAGGAAATCTACTTTATAAAATTGAAAGCGGTGATTTTTCCACCTGATGTATAGAAATCATCACAGAGACACATCAAGCATACAAAAGCAAGAAAACATGACACTTCCAAAGGAACACAATTCTCTAGAACAGACCCTAATCATAAGAAAATATGTGAAATTCCAGAAAAAGAATTCAAAATAATAATCTTAACTTGGTGAAATACAAGATAATACAGATAGACAATTAAATGAAATCAGGAAAATAATTCACTATTTAAATGAGAAATTCAGTAATGAGATAAATATGATTTAAAAGAACCTAACAGAAATCATATAGCTGAAAGAATCAATGAATGAAATAAAAAATATATAATAGATAGCTTTGATAACAGACTAGACCAAGCAAAAGAAAGAATTTCTGAATTTGAAGACAGGTGATTTGTAATACAGGAAAAGGAAGGGAAGGGAAGGGGAAAGGGAAGGGGAAGGGAAGGAGGAGAGAGAAAGGGAATGAGAGAGAGACAGGCAGAAAGAAAGAAGGAAAGAAAAAGAAAGAAAGAGAGAGAGAAAGAGAGAAAGAAAGAAAGAGAAAGAGAAAGGACAGAAGGAAGGAAGGAGAAAAAGAAAGGAAAAGAAAGAAGAAAAAGAAAGGAAAAGAAAGAAAGAAAGAAGAAAATGAAGAGAATCTACAGGATTTATGGGACACCATTAAGCAAATATTTGCTGTATGGGCATTACAGAAGGAGAAGAGAAGAAAAAATGCAGAAAACATATTTAATAAAATAATAGCTGAAAACTTCAAGTCATGGGAGAGAGATGAACATCCAGGTCCAGGAAGCTCAAAGAACCCCAGGTAGATTCAACCCAAGCAAATCTTCTACCAACCACATTATATTCAAATTGTCAAAAGTCAAAGACATAGAAAGGGTTCTCAAAGCAGCAAGAGAAAAGTGTCAAGTCACATAGAAGGGAATCTTCATAAGACTAACAACAGATTTAGCAGCAGAAACCTTACTGGCCAGGAGAGAAAGGGATGACATATTCAAGAACTGAAAGAAAAAAACTGCCAGCCAGGTATGTTACACCTAGCAAAGCTATTCTTCAGAAGTGAAAGAGAAATAACATCTTTTTCCAGCAAACAAAAACTAGCAGAATTCATCACCACTAGAATGGTCTTACAAGAAAACTTCAAGTGAGTCTTACATCTGGAAATGAAAAGACAGCAACCACCATCACAAAACCATATGAAACTATAAAACTCACTGGTAGTCTGAGACACAAAGGAGAAAGAAAGGAATCAAACTTTATCACTACAGAAAACAACCAACAACAAAAATAAACAAGAGAGAAAGTAAGAAACAAAAGATACATAACACAACCAGAAAAAATCAACATGATAGGAGTAAGTCCTCACCTATCAATAATAACCCTAGATATAAGTAAATTAAATTCCCCATTTAAAAGATATAGACTGGCTGAATGGATTCAAAAAAGAGGACCCAACTATATGCTGCCAAAATAAACTCACCTAACCTGTAAAGACACACATAGGTAGGTTGAACATGAAGGGAAAGAAAAAGATAGTCCATGCAAACTAAAGCAAAAGTGAGCAGGAACAGCTATATTTATATTAGACAAAACAGAATTCAAATCAAAAGCTATAAAAGGAGACAAAGAAGGACATTATATAATAACAAATGTACTAATTCAGCAAGATAATATAACAACTATTATATATGCACCCAACACCAGAACACACAGATATAAACAGGAAATTTTATAAGATTTAAGGGGAATTTACAGCACATGTAACATTCTCCAGGACTGACTATATGTTAAGGACACAAAACAAGCCTCAAAACATCTTTTTAAAAACCAGAATCCTAACAAGGGTCTTACCTGATCACAATAGAATAAAACTAGAAATCAATAACGATAGGAATATTCAATAATATACAAATATATAGAAATTATGTAGTAAACAACATGCTCCTGAATGATGAATGGATAAAGAAATAAATTAAGAATAAAATGTAAATTTTTTGAAAGAAATAAAAACGGAAACACAACATATCAAAGCTTATGGGACACAGGAAAAGCAGTATCTAGAGGCAAGTTTACAGCAATAAATGTCTATATCAAAAAAACTAAAAAGATTTTAAATAAATAATGTAACAATGCAACTTAAGAAACTAGAAAAGTAAGAACATGCCAAATCCCAAGTTAGTAGAAGAAAAGAAATAAATATCAAAACAGAGATAAATGAAATTGAGTCTGGTAAAACACAAAAATCAATAAAAAGTTGATTTTTTGAAAAGATAAACGAAATTGATGAACAATTAGCTAGAATAAGAAAAAAAAGGCCCAAATAAATAAAATGAGAAATAATAAAGCAGATATCACAACAGATACCACAGAAATACAAAAGATTATTAGAGACTATTATGAACAACTATACAACAATAACTTTGAAAAACCTAGAGAAAATGTATGAATTTCTGGAGAAATAAAACCCACTAAGATTGATTCCGAAAGAAACATAAAACCTAACCAGAATAATAACAAGTCACTAGATTAAATCATTAATAAAATGTCTCCCAACAAAGGAAAATTCAGGACCAATGGCTTCACTACCGAATTCTATCAAACCTTCAAAAAAGAATTAATACCAATTCTTCTCAGAATATCCCAAAAATTGAAGTGAAGGGAATTTTTTCAAACTCATTTTACAGGGCCAGGGTAACACTGATACCAAAACCAGACAAGGACACAACACAAAAAGAAACTATAAGCAAATATTCCTGATGAACATAGACACACAAATCCTCAACAAATACTAGCAAACAAATTCAACAGCAATCAAAAAGTTAATATACCAGGATTGAATGGGATTTATCCCAGGAATACAAGAATGATTCAGCACAAGCATGTCAATAGACATAATACATTACATCAACAGAATGAAGGACAAAAACCAAATCATCATATCAATACGTGCAGAAAAAGCATTTGACAAAATTTAATATTCCTTTATAACACCTCTTAATAAATTGGATATAGAAGGAAAGTGCCCCCGGCACAATAAAGGCTGTTCTTGGGAATGTAAACTAGTAGAGCCACTGTGGATGACAGTATGGAGGTTCCTCAAAAATCTACAAATAGAACTACCATATGACCCAGCAATTCCACTACTAGGAATTTTTCCAAAAAAAAGGACATCAATATGTTGAAGAGTCATCTGCACCCCATCTTTGTTGTGGCACTGTTCAAAATAGCCAAGATATGGAATTCATTTAGGTGTCCGACAACAAATGAGTGGATAAAGAAAATTTGGTATATACACACAATGAAATACTATTCAGCCATAAAAAAGAATACAATCCTTTCATTTGCAGCTAAAGTACTTTAAATATAAAGACAGAAACAGGTTGATAGTAAAAGGGTGAAAAACATACACTATGGAATCATTGTGAAGAGGATGCTATGGACATATTAATATGAGATAAAGTACACTTCATGACAAAGATTGTTATCGAAGATAAGAGAGATATTTTAAAACAGATAAAAGACATTTCAAAATGATTCATATGGAAGATAAAACAATCGTTAAGTATATGTGTTTAATAACAGAGCTTCAAAATATATGACGTAAAAGTTGACAGAATTAAAGAAACAAATAGAAACATCAACAGTCATGGAGGGAGATTTTAAACACCACCTCTCTAGGTAATTGACAACTGAGAAAAAAATTCAGAAGATCTGAAAGTCACTACGAACCACAATGACATAATTGACTTTCACAGTACAATACATCCAACAACTTCATGCTACACTTTATTTACAGGTGAACATGTACTTTCTCCAAGATAGACCATATGCTGGACTGTAAAGCAAGTTTTAATACATTTCAAGATCTCTAATCATAATAGAATTAAATTAGAAATTGATAATGATAAAATATCTTCAAAAACTTCACATATTTGGAAAATAAACAACACAATTGTATCCCATCAAAATTTTCCTTGAAATTCTTTAAACCAACTTTTGTAATCTAGTTTACTTATTGACTAGTCTAACTCAAATGTGACTCTCTCCTTAAAGACTTTTCTGACATGCCACTAAGCTCTTGGCATTTATTCTCAAAAACATGAATTCCTTAACCCGTTGTTCTCTTAGACAATGTTTACTTATCTCTTTTGGCGCTTATCACTCAGTGTTTTATTCATTCATGTAATTTCGCTCCCACTGCAGTGTCTTTCATTTCTTTTTGTAATTTTTTGACACATAATATTTTACATATTTATGGGGTACATGTGATATTTTGTTACATGCATAGACTATGTAACGATCAAGTCGTTGTTTGTTTTTATATCCCCAGTTCCTGGTGCAGGGTAGAACCTTGATAAATAGTTGTTTAAAAGAAAGATAATAAGGCCAGATGCGGTGGCTCACACCTGTAATCCCAACTCTTTGGGAGGCCAACGAGGAGGGATCACTTGAGGTCAGGAGTTGGAGACTAGCCTGGCCAACACAGTTCTACCAAAATACAAAAATTAGCCAAGCGTGGTGCAGCACGCCTGTCATCCCAGCTACTTGGGAAGCTGAGGCACGAGAATCGCTTTAACCTGGGAGGTGAAGGTTGCAGTGAGCCAAGATCACACCACTGCACTCCAGCCTGGGAGGCAGAGCGAGACTCCATCTTAAAAAAAAAAAAAAAAAAAAAAAAAAAAAAAAAAAAAAAAAACTATATATAGATACAGATATAGATATAGATAGATATATAGATAGATATATAGATATAGATAGATAGATATAGATATATACACACATATATAATTACAATAAATAAAGATAATAAGGAAGAAAAGAGAGGAAGAGAGGATAGGGAAAGGGAGCAAGAAAGGGAGAGAGGGAGGGACAGAGAAAGGAAGGAAAGGAGAAAGGAAGGAAAGAAGAGAGGGAGGGAGGCGGACAGGGAGAGACCGAAGGAGGAAGGGAGGAAGGAAGGGAAGACAACCATGTTTTAACTTAAAGAAGTCAGGCCTTTTTAGCTATAATCACATGATTCTAAGCCCCAAACGACAAATGTTTTATTTACTGTATCTTCGTTACCTAGAAAGTGATTTGGAATATTTTTCAACAGCTAAAAAATTATCTCTGGTGTGAAGAGAGTAGGGCCTGAAGATACTGTTTATGACAGATCCAGGTTTGTAAAAACATTTTTTCCTGTATATCTCATGCATAGAGCTACATAGTTTTACAGCCAACATTTGAGCAAAGTAATTTTGAGGGCATCTAAGTGTCAGCTACCTACACTGGTTTCAGTTATTAAAGGATTAGCTGGTACATATAATGAAAATGTATTCCTCCAAATCCGGATGTAGCTTATTGGAAAAAATTGCAGTCTAAATCAAGAGTATATGGATCCCATAGAGGTTTAGGACGAGGTAATATATTTCTGAACACATTTCACTCTAAATGTGATCTCATTGACTTAAAATGCTAAGAGGCATTGGTTTTGCTGAGATTTTATCCTAGAAAATTTGGACTGGGAAGATTGCATCCTTGTGAGTCATTTCCCCAATACTAGCTCTCTGAATTTTAAAGGTATATATCTGTTTATATGCAATTATTGCTACAATTATTTGAAAACAATATGTGGGATTATTCTAGGAGGAATGATACTTAAATCTTGAATCAAGATGATAGTATTGTTGAATATTAAATACTTAGCCTTGATTTACTTGCATCCGCAAGAGGGCACTTTCAGACTTCACTGAAAATAATCCTGTATGCTTTAAAATAGGTATCACTCTGTTGACACATACTCTTTCCATACATGCACAACAATTCACTTAACAATTAAATATATGTGGAGAACACTGTGCCAGGCACTGGGTTTCTAACTCTAAACCCAAACTCTGTCATAGGAAGTGATAAGAAAGAACACAGAGGCAAATAAACATCCATGACAACATGATGTGTAAGGGCTCGGATAGGGGACGTTCTGACTATTAGGGCAGCTAAGAGATTTCTTAGGAAAATAGCATCTAAACTGACGTCAGTCATGACAGGAATGATCCAGCCAACAACAACAGTTCTCTTGTAAATTAAGTGACTGTTTCACAACTTCTTCTCTTATCCAATCTCCAACATCTCCTACACCTCTCATTTTCGGCTGATGGCTGTATTTCATACTTACGGAAAAAAAGAAACATTTCTCATCCCCAATTCCACCAACAGACTTGCATCTTCTGCCACATCCCCTGCCCTAAATGTGTGCCTGGAATCCACTTCCTTGCACTTCCCCCATGACCTTGCTTCCTTTTTCTCCTGCAACATCAATCAAATCATCTTTACTAGATCCTTCCCCAGGACGGTCAGCCACATATTCATACTAACCATCTTTTAAAGCAACACTCACCCTGCCCCACATCTCCCTCTAGATTTTGGGATATCATCCCACTTTTCTTTTATGCTCATACAAAATTCCCCAAAAGGACTCACTACACTCACTCCTTTCTCTTCCCTACCTCCCATTCTCTTCAAAAATCTATTTTAATTGGCCCTTCGTCCCCACCATGAAACTGAAACAGCTCTTATCAAGATCGCCAAAATCTATTTCTCACCAGAGTCAGAGTTTGCTTGACTTCTCAGCATCAGGTGACAGAGATGACCACTCCTCAATTGTCAGGGTTCTCCTGACACTGCATTTCCACCTGTCTTCCTCCTCTTCACCAGCCACTCCATCTTCATCTCCTCTGCTGGCTCCTTCTTTCTATACCATATCCATACATGTAGGAATATCTAAGATTTGGCCTTTGCCTCATCTACCCATCTACATTCTAAGTGATCTCATTAGGTCTTGTGACTTTAAATGTCATCTATAGGTTGGTGACCCTCTAACTTATACCCAGACATCTCCCCTGTATGCCAGGCTCTTGTATCCAGCCTCCTGCCTAAATTGTCCACTTGGCCATTTATTCACCCCCTTGATGGACAAACAGATTGTCTGCAGTCCTGTTACTGTGAGTAACAATAGGATGAACATCCTTGTATACACATGTATTTTCGGGATCATTGTGAGAATTCCTCTGGGATGTATCTTCAGGATCAAGATTGTTGGATCATGTGGTATACGTAAATATAATTCAAGTACAGCCAGTTGTTCTCGAGAATGGCTACAAGGGCACTGGTAACCATGACAGCTTTTCTATCTTGGTGGTGCTAAAGCCTGGCTGCATGTTAGGCTCACTTGGGGAGATTTTAAAAATCCAGTCACCTAGGCTATAAACCAGGCTCATTAAGCCAGACTTTCTGGGAGCAGAATAGACACAGCAGTATTATTTAAAGTTCCCTGGGCGATTCTAATTTGCAAATAAGGCTGAGAACCGCTGCTGTATTTCCACATGCTTACCAACACTCGGCTTTTTCCAGCTTTCTAATATTGCCAATAGAATAGCTGTTAAGTGTTGTATCATTATTATTTTAATCTGCATTTCTATAGGTATTTTTATTATTCTCAATACAATGAATCAGCTTTCTCAATACTGTCTTCTAAACAGTTTGACCTTTTCCCATTATTATGGTCCTGTAGATTGTCAAGCTCTTTGTAGCTAGAATCCAGTAAATCCACTTACTTCACAATATCTCATCAAACACAGCTCTGAAAAAGACTTCAGACAAGATGTGTTTGTCATAATTGTTAAAATATTGGGCACAGAATATCTATTGTGTGTGTATGTGTATTGTGTATATACAGTTTACCCTTGAGCAATATGGGTTTGAACTGCAGAGGTCCACTTATACATGGATACATGGATTTTCTTCCACCTCTGCCACTCCTGAGACAGCAAGATGAACCCCTTCCCTCACCCCTCCTCTCCCAACTCAACGTGAAGATGACGAGGATGAAGAACTTTACGATGATCCACTTCCACTTAATGAATGGTAAATATATTTTCTCTTCCTTACAATTTGCTTAATAACATTTTCTTTTCTCTAGCTTACTTTCTTATGGGAATACAGAATGTAATACATATAACATACAATGTGTGTGTTAATCGACTGTTTTATGGTATTGGTAAGATTTCTGGTCAATATTAGGCAATTAGTAGTTAAGTTTATGGGGAAGTCAAAAGTTATACTGGTGTTTCTCACTGTGTTGGGGAGCAGTGTCCCTAAGCCTCACATTATTCAAGCATCAACAGTAGATGAGTGTATGCATATGTACGAGTATAGTTTGTTTGTGTGCAGTATAGTTTTGTGTTGAGACCTTTGATTTCGTAAATGGAATAGTCCAGTAACTGAGAACTCAGATTCTGGTGTCAAACAGACCTAGAATTGAATTCCAGCTTTGCCCGTTTACCAGTTTGGAAACCTCAGGCAAGTTGCCAAATCTCTGCCTGAGCCCCAGGTTCTTTGCTGTCGAGTGACAGTAATAACTTAGGCCACATATGTTTATTATGGAGATTAAATAAGAAAATGTAGATAAAGCATGAAATGCAATGCCTGGATGCACTATATATGCTCCGTAAATGGTGGTTTTTGTCA
Source organism: Homo sapiens (assembly GCF_000001405.40). NCBI lineage: Eukaryota > Metazoa > Chordata > Mammalia > Primates > Hominidae > Homo > Homo sapiens. The sequence goes on along the minus strand of NC_000006.12, from coordinate 155,762,971 downwards.
TTACTACACTTTATGTGACTTGCCATGCCAGGTGTTGCATAACTCTGGAATTTGAAGTACTTGTTCATTTAAGATTGGTGCAAAAGTAATTGCGGGTTTGCCATTGAAAGTAATGGCAAAAACCGCAATTACTTTTGCACCAACATAGTAGTTGTTGGAATAGATTGATCCTCTTCTTTTGAGAGAAAAATAATGCATGCATATTTTTCAGGTACCCCTCAACTCACTTTGGTTGACAGTAGCTTAGCATTACACTCAGGTAACAATAAAGGCCTAGTCTTATATTTTTGCAACAGAATGATAACCATGCAACTTGAATGTCTCTGATCTATAAACATAAGTTACTTTTGGAAAACAAGAGTGTTAACACTTGGAGCTCATAGAGAACATATCAATTATGTGTACCCACTCCACAAACACACCACAAATCAACTGGTTATTGTGGGAGACCATCCAGGGTAGTGCTTTCCCAAACCTAGATGACCAAATCATGAAGCAAATTGTTGCTATATGGTTCAGATTTCCCTATTTCCAAAGAAGCCAGCAATGTAATTTTAAAAAATTAATTGCAGCTCTATTTACAATAGCCAAGTTATGGATTCAACCTAAGTGGCCATCAATACATGAAGGATAAAGAAAATGTGGTACATACACACATGGGAATATTATTCAGCCATAAAAATGAAGGCAATCTGTAATTGACGGCAACGCAGACGGAACTGGAGAACATTATGCTAGTGAAATAAATTAAGCACAGAAAGAAAAATAACATATGTTCTCACTCATATGTGGGATCTAAAATAATCAAACTCATAGAAGCAGGGAGCAAAATGGTGGTTACAGAGGCTGTGGGATGGAAGAATGAGGAGATGATGGGCACATCATGAAAGGGCACAAAATCTCAGATGCAAGGAGTATATTCTTTTTCCTTGAGTTCTATTGCACAGCATGGTGAATATAGTTAATAATAGACTATTGTACACTTCAAAATTGCTAAGAGAGTAAATTTCAAATGTTCTCACCACAAAATCATTAAGTATTGAAGTTGGTGGATATGTCAACTATCTGGCTTTAATCATTCCATATTGTATCCATTATGATGATGTCACTTTCTACCCCACAAATTTATACCATAAGTTGTTAATTGACAACACAAAAATATTTTTAATATTCAAACGTGCCAAAAAGTATTATATGATTGTGTGAACAACAACAACAAAAAAAGCCACTCTACTGGAGATTGGGCCAACAGATCATAAATTTTTAAGCTCTGCTTTTTTCTCTCGATTTATAATAGTCCTGCCAGCTACTGGGACAAAATGCAACTGGACTGTGTAATTTTAGCTCCCATCGAATCTTACCTTAAATAACATCCTAGTGTTATGTCCTGAGCTAGGTTCTGTGTTTCTCAATGCCTTGCTCATTTTTTTGGTTATTGAAATGCCATGTTTCATTACAATCTCTATCTTATGAATTGTATTTTCACCAATCAAAAAGTTTGTTGAGGACAGGGATCGCACCTAGGTCTTAACACCTCACACCTCACACATTTTAGGTACTTAAACATTTTTGTGGGATGAATAAATGACTAAATCCATAAACATCCTCTATATCCTTTCAGGAGTTACTTAAAATATGTCCATTTGCAAAATGCATCGAAGTCTTCTGACAAATAATTGTCAAAGAAACTAACAATTTAGTTTCTTGACTATACATTGTTTCCATAAAAATTTACTTTAAGACTTCACATACAAATTTTTATAGGTTTTATGAGAAATAGAAAATTCATCTTTTAGGTGAAGTTAAATGTTTTCCCTTTGATCCAAAACCAACCATAAAACCTTTTTTCCTTGGCTGCCAGTAAGCTCAGAGGTACAGTTAGCTCTCAATTGTAGTAACTATCACGTTGCTAAAACTACATCTTTTCTGATCCTTCTTTTTTACCCCTAACATTTTCCATTTTGTTTTAATTGTCCTGTTTTATGCTTGTTAGTTGTGTCACTCAAGTAAAATATTTTATGGAAGCAGGCAACATAGAAATCATTAGAAAACACTTACGAAGTAAAATATACAGCAATTTGCTTTAGAACAAATCCACTCCAGAGGCTTCATCCATTTAGCAATTAGCATCCAGCAGATTTTAGCACCCATTTGCCACCTGTTCAGCAGTCTTAACTTTGTACTCCAGAAGACTGCGTGGCATTAGTGGTTACAATGAAGGGCTTGGTATCTATTGTAACAGTGAACTAGATGCTTCAGAGAAGAAGCGTATAGTACATGGACGCTGCCTTCATGGAGGTTGCTGTCTCATTGTGGAAAACAAGATTTTTTACACCAGACTATTGATAATGAATCATGGTTGGTATATTCATTTGCTGTGCTGCCATAACAAAGTACTACAAACTGGTGCCTAAAAACAACAGAAATGTCTTGTCTTACTGTTCTGGAAGCTGGAAGACATGAAATCAAGGTGTGGGCACAGCCACGCTCTCTCTGAATGAAGTCTCTAGGGAAGAATCTGTTTCATACCTTTCTCTTCGTTTCTCCTGTAGTCCTGGCAATGCTTGATTTCTAGCCACATCAATCGCTGCCTTTATCGATACACGGCATTCTCCCTGTGTCTCTTCTGATAAGAATCCCGGTCAGATTGGATTAAAGGCCTGCACCACTCCAATAGGATCCCAGCTTAACAAAGTCTCTATTTCCAAATAAAGTCACATTCACAGGTACTGGGGTTCAAACCTCAACATATCTTTTAGGGGGACAAGATGAGACCCATACAGTTGGCATATGAAAAAGTGCCAAGAAGTGCTGAACAGACAATTGGGAAGGTTCTTGAATAGAAACGTTGGGGTCCTGCTTAGAGAGGAGGCCCACCAATTCTCTACCCAATATTGTTCTATTGCAGAGCAAATAGAATCTCATTTTAGACCTTGTTATTCTTAGTGTGCTCTGCATGTTGAGTTTTTATCAGTTTGGTGTGATGAGAAATTTCCAAGGCACTTTTTACAGGAAGGCCTTCCCTTACTTGTCTTCTTATCTCTTATTGCTATCACAAGCTCGTGTGATAGATTTTTCCAGCCTTAAACTCATAGAATTCTCTGAAATAAAGAGAAAACATACACACCTGATTTTTTTTTCGCTGCTAACAGTATGTGTGCAAATATACAGAGGCCATCAAATTATGCTGCCAACTATCAGCCTGACTGCAGTTTATATAGATTTGAAACAAGACTTTGCTTATCTTCCTTTCCTAATGGAATTTTTTAAAAGTTGTCTTGCTGGTTTTCTTTTAGGGATAAAATATTCACTTTCTTTTTATAAGGCTTTATCATTATCATCTCCATTCTCTTGGCTGATCAAGCAAAAGTGAACCTTAAAATGTACTTCCCCTCTTCCTATGCAAGGCCTGATGAGCAACATAGATTTGAAACATCTCTCACTTTCCTCCCTCAAATGAAAATGTAAAAAAATTAGAGTGTTATTAACTTACTACTATTAAGGGGGGTATTTGAGCTTATTTTAATGGTAAGAACTTTATTCGAATGTTTATTTTTGTTAGACATAATCACAGTTGTTATCAATTAGCATTTTGTTGAGTATTAGTTGTGTGGTATTTTGCTAGGCAATAATTGAGCAAATTATAACAAATGGCATTTACATAACATACCAACTGATGAAAAGTCACAAGTTTATGACCTGAAGTATATTTTGAGACTAATAAAGCTGGAAAGATGTTTACCTCATTAGATGGAAATCAGAAGTGAGAATACAGCAGGACCCAATAATTCCGATTTCTATATTTAAGTCTTCAGTTTCATCCTGAGTCATTAATAAACATGGTCCTGATCCTCATCTGCTTACACATGAATGCTCTGAACAACCTCCTCGCAACCTTTATTTCTGTCAACACTACTGCCAGCATCATATGAAAACACGAGCATCTTATACGTGAGTAATGATTTCTAGTTCTTCAAATGCAACTGCATTTTTTTTTTCACATTGCTCAATGTGGAAGTGTTATGTGGCTGGTCCTGTGGAATCCTTGTCATGAGATGCAGACACTGAGCTTTACCTGGACTCTGGGGATTGAGGGATAAGTCGGGCTGGTTCCCCTGTGCTACCCAGCCTCCTCTACCCACCGCGATCCCATTGCCTCCTTGCTCAGTATGTCCCAAAGTTGTCTGTTACTTCTCACATTGGACTGGATGGAGGCACTTAGGGCCTCCATCACATTTCTTCTCTAACCTATTAATAGCTCCCCCTGTTCTTCTGCATCAACAAGTCCCGCCCCATCACTGCCATTCCAAAAAGCTATCTAGAAAAGTGCTCTTTTTCCTCATCCCCATCAATTCCAATTTTCCATGCTCCAGGTCCTGAAGAACCTTATCTACATTACATGGTCCATGACAACTGTAGCCCATGCAGACACATCACTTCTTAGCTTTTATGCCCCCCTAGCATTAAACTGTATGCCTATCTCATTATCACTTAGATGTTGACTATGTGTGTTCATTTCATTCTCCTACCTGGATTATAATAGCTTTGAAATAAGAACCTTGTCATCTATTTCTTTCTTATTTTGCACTATTACATGCACATTTGATGACTGATATTTGATTGATATTTGATATTTCTTAATTTCTTAGCTTTTTAGCTCCAAAATGTAGGTGGAGACCATATAAAACATCTAGCTACAAATCATAATGGTTTTAAATTAATTAAAATTAACCAAACTTATCATGGTTTTAAATTAATATTTCATCATGCATTCCAAAATTCTGATTGAGGTAAACCTTTAAAAACATGAAATGTTCATATGGCTTTTACTCCATTTTTAAATACCACTTAAAAAGAGAACATTATAGACTTATGTACAATGTTGTATGAAAGAGAATTGTCATCCTTGAGCTTCCAGCTTTATCTGACTGAACATTTTCCATAATCATTCTTCTTTATGAGACTGTAGTTACAGTAGCTTCAGGAAACTCAAAGTTCTGCTATTTTCTATGTGCTCTTCATGCATTGTTTATCCAGTGCTCCCATTTGGGACTGGACCATCCTATTGAGGCAAGAAGTTGAGACTTCTATTTTGTTGATTCATTTGAGTAATGAGAAAAAATGCTTTTAAGTGGAATGACCTTAACTAGATAGTTCTTTGGGCATCAAAAGGAAAAAAAAAAAGTTAATTCCTACCAAAGCTTCATTAAACGGACGCTTTGTAAGAAAGGCTAATAAAGTACAATGATCCCATTAGTTTCAGGGGAACTCGATGCTGCAATGCCTCAGATAGAGTTGTTGGTCCTGCTTTATCAGTAAAGCATCTTAGATGCCCAGTTAAATGGGACTTCTTTCTCCCACTCTAACTGGTGCTTTAGGGATTTTAGAATATTAGCCAATGGCTGACTAGCTTTATGGGATTTATGCACCACTGCAGCCAGAGAATCAAGTTTTATCCTTTGAATGTGTGAAAGGTCCATGATAAATTAAAGTTTCCTCCTTTCCTTGTTCCCAAAGTTTTGAGAATTTGGTCTTTAGATACCAGCATTTGAAAAACCACATTGCAACGATTCACTTGCAAAGAAACAAAGCCACATCTGGATATTGTAGTGTGGTTTCAGAAAGTTCCCTATAACATTTATTTGATTTGGTTTCTTTATTTTCCAGGTGAGATCCGGTTTACATACAGTGCAATCCATAATTCCGTTAGTCTCATGAATGTCCAGCCTCCGTCAAGATCTAGAACTTGAAAAGTTGCCTTTTGACATTTCCCAGTTCATGCCACTGCTCTCCCACTTCATGTTGCATGGGTGCATAGCACGGAGTTTCTGGCTTCAGAGAAGCATCTGCAGGCTCAGTTAATTCATACAGTCATCTACAACAACTTGTGGATGTCAGAATGTCTCAGCAAATGAGCTTACCAGGAAAACTTCCCAGACATGCACCATAAGTTTATTTTCATCTTTGGGAAAAACATACTACATGTCTGACACCCACCTACCTGTCTTCCCTCTACTAACTGATAGATTGAGTTCGCTAAGTACTGCTTCTTATTTATCACAATATCTTGAAGCAGTTGAACATATGATGGTTCAGCTTCAGATTTGTATTTCTACCATCTGTATGCCACATGAACTAATTTTAAATAAGTCAACAAACTATGGCATATGAGGTTCTAATTTTTAAACTTCACTGTAATCAGTGTGCTAATTTCATACATGGTATCATCAAGATGATCCTTTGTTTAAAAATCCAAATGCTTATATGCCTAATGACCAGAAATTTTAAACATCAAAATACATATGCAGTTTGATATAAAATATCACATATATTGAAGGGCTAAAGTAAGCATGGTACTTAATTTAGCTAAGAGCCTATACAAAGGCAATGCAAGAGTAGCCCTTTTAAAGGACACCTTTGTGATTTAAAAAGAAAAAGGAGAAAGAAGTTAACCCCATTCCTACATCCCTGCCGTGTGCAGGAAATCAAAGGAAAGAAAATTAACACCACTGGACCAAACACTGGTCATGGTAGGTATCATCAAATATTTGAAAGACTGTCATGTGAAACAGGAGTTAATTAGATGTATTCGGTTAATTCCACAGGACAGCACAAAGAACAATAAAAAGAAGTTCCAGAGGAAGCTAATTTTTTTTGCCTCAATATAAGGAACTCTCTTAACATTTAGAGTGCTTTAGAAATGGGATTGGCCAAACTGCATTGCTAAATAGTAAATTCCCAATCTCTAGAAGTGGTGAGAGTCAGGGCGACCTCTATTCAAAATAATACAGATGGAGTTGGAGCTCTAGTGAAAAAAATTGCCTATGTGACCTCATAAACTTATCCCAACTCCAAGATTAAGTTGCTCCTTGTACTTGGTTGATGAGAAGGTATCATCTCCCCCAAATCAACTTGTTTGTTTATTTTTCAAATTCTCTGATGATTAAGAAAGAATTTTACTCTTACTTCCAGCTGTCCTCTGTATTTCCTCCAACAGGAAAAAAATATGAATTTTAGAAGAGCTCTTCAGTATTTTCTGTGATATGATTACCTCAGGCAGTGTTACAAATGTAATTAAAATTCTGTTTGCATTCCTTGAAATATAGATAAGCATGGCAGACTGTGATCATTCTGAAATATTAGATTTGGGTAGTTATCTAATCGAGGCTGGTAACAGTTAAGATTATCCCAGATCAATATATTTTGAGACCAAGACTGATTCCCTGTCATCATTGTTATACTCTGGGCTATTAGGTTACACATGTTCCAGGACAAGTTTGTGGTCTCTCAGGAGCAGCGAAGCTGAGGAGACTGTGGCAAGACTTCAGCTATTTACTGTGTATAGATGCTTGTTCTAACAAAGCAATCTGGATTTTATTTTAAAATAAACATTACAAATGTGTGTTCCAAAGCCAGGCAGAGACCCACTTCCATATCAATTGAGTAAAACAGAGCTGCAAAAAAAAAAAAAAAATAGAAGCCTACTGCTGCCTTCCAAGAGTCGGTAAGAATAATAACTCACATTATCAGAAAGGGCAGTACAAAATTACTCATGCAAAGAACAAGCAAAGACTTCTTGCTTTTCCTTTTTGGCTTTCTTGCTACCAATTTAAGATCAAGATCTTAGAAGGAATTACATTCCATCTTAGGTAGAACTGGCAGAAACACATTTTCAATTACCAGCAGCTGACAATAGAACAACAATGTCAGTGGTTTTTTAAACAAGGTTATTTCTTGCTTTACAAAGGTGACTATTTATAAATGACTGAACAAGATCTCTAACAAATAATATTACTCTTTTCAAAAAATATAAATACTATAGCTTTGGATACTGGTACATTTAATTTACACATTTCTGGTTTCTTAGTGATCTGGAGGGGAAAAAAGGTCATGGCAACAGAATTATTTGACTTTAAAAATATTAAATACTAAGTGCAACTCAAGGGGACCTATTATAATAAACATGGTTATTACTTACTTCCATTAAAAGAAAACACAGTTCATGACTCTATTTTTGTTATTGTAGTTTTTGCAATGGTCATACTTCTCAGGACACATTGAAACACTTGCAAACAAATGAATGAATTAATTAATGAATATAAGTCGAAGGATGGATGAAATTAACAAATGTAATTGATGCAAGTGCTGTGAGGCAGCCTCATGGCCAAACCCTATAGTTTCATTTCTACATCATTTCCCTCTGTTACTCCAAGGAGCCCCAAATAATATCCAGAGATACACTTCAGTAACTCATATCAAAAACTCACTTTTTTCTCAAGTGATTCTACAAATTATACTTGCAGTCATCTTAACATTAACTGCCATTTTCTTTTTGTAAACTTGAGTTTTCTGTCAAGTCATTTGTAAGTGAAAAGCAGCTTCACCAGAAAAGAATTTCAATGGGCTTCCCATTATCCTTCTAAAAGGAAAATACAGTAATCACCTTGGGCCCTTCTTTTTCTTGGAATATTTTCCCTAACATTCCCCAGTTGTTTGGAGCATTTTGTTGTTGTTGTTGTTTTAATGGAGGAAAGAGGTTTAATTGACTCACAGTTTCACATGCCTGGGGAGGCCTCAGGAAACTTATAATCATGGCAGAAGTGGAAGCAAACACCTCCTTCTTCACAAGGTGGCAGGAGAGGGAAGAGTGAGGAGCGAACAGGGAAGAGCCCCTTATAAAACCATCAGATCTCGTGAGAACTCACTATCACAAGAACAGCATGAGGGAAACCAAACCATCACCATGATCCAATCACCTCCCACTGGGTTCCTTTCTCTACATGTGTGGATTATGGTGATTACAATTTGAGATGAGATTTGGGTGGGGACACTGCCAAAGTATATCAGTAGGTACACCATGATTTCTTCCTTAAAAAGGTATTTTACTCTTTAGTAACATGGAGAAATCCTCAAAACATGATAAGTAAAAAGAAAAAAAGATGCCAAGTGAAATTTACTCGTTCACTTATTCATATATTCAACAAATATATTCTAAGATCCCTCTGTATGTTGGCACTGTTCTATGTACTGCAGATTTAGCAGTGAACAAGTCCAAAGTTCTTCATTTCATGGAACTTATATCCCAGTGAAGCAAAGATAACAGTAAGCAAATAAACAAGTATATATGTATGTGATATATTGATTGTGAGAAATAATGGTAAATAATAAAACAGGGTTTAAAGTATTGATTCCAAATTATTTTTAAAAACAACCAAGCTCCCTAAAACACAGGTGTGGTACACATTTAGCTATTACTTTGTGAAATTTCTCTACTTACACAGGTTGCATTTTTCTTTTCTTTTCTTTTTAATTATACTTTAAGTTCTGGGATACATATGCAGAATGTGCAGGTTTCTTACATAGGTATACACATACCATGGTGGTTTGCTGCACCCATCAACCCATCACCTACATTAGGTATTTCTCCTAATGCTATCCCTCCCCTAGCTCCCCACCCCACAACAGGCCCCATTGTGTGGTGTTCTCCTCCCTGTGTCCATGTGTTCTCAAATTGTTCAACTCCCACTTATGAATGAGAAGATGCGGTGTTTGGTTTTCTGTCCCTGAGTTAGTTTGCTGAGAATGATGATTTCCAGCTTCATCCATGTCCCTGCAAAGGACATGAACTCATCCTTTTTTATGGCTGCATAGTATTCCATGGTGTATATGTGCCACATTTTCTTTTTCCAGTCTATCACTGATGGACATTTGGGTTGGTTCCAAGTCTTTGCTATTGTGAATAGTGCTGCCATAAACATGCATGTGCATGTGTCTTTATAGTACAGTGATATATAATCCTTCGGGTATACACCCAGTAATAGGATCGCTGTTTCAAATGGTATTTCTGGTCCTAGATCCTTGAGGAATCGCCACACTGTCTTCCACAATGGTTGAACTAATTTACACCTTCACCAGCAGTGTAAAAGTGTTCCTATTTCTCCACATCCTCTCCAGCATCTGTTGTTTCCTGACTTTTTAATGATCACCATTCTAACTGGCGTGAGATGGTATCTCGTTGTGGTTTTGATTTGCATCTCTCTAATGACCAGTGATGATGAGCTTTTTCTCACGTGTTTGCTGGCTGCATAAATGTCTTCTTTTGAGAAGTGTCTGTTCGTATTCTTTGCCCACTTTTTGATGGGGTTGTTTTCTTCTTGTAAATTTGGTTAAGTTCCTTCTAGATTCTGGATACTAGCCCTTTGCCAGATGGATAGATTGCAAAAATTTTCTCCCATTCTGTAGGTTGCCTGTTCACTCCGATGATCGTTTCTTTTGCTGTGCAGAAGCTCTTTAGTTTAATTAGATCCCATTTGTCAATTTTGGCTTTTGTTGCCATTATTTTTGGTGTTTTAGTCATGAAGTCTTTGCCCAAGCCTATGTCCTGAATGGTATTGCTTAGGTTTTCTTCTAGAGTTTTTATGGATTTAGGTCTTACGTTTAAGTCTTTAATCCATCTTGAGTTAATTTTTGTACAAAGTTTAAGGAAGGGGTCCAGTTTCAGTTTTCTGCATATGGCTAGCAAGTTTTCCCAACACCATTTATTCAGTTGGGAATCCTTTCCCTACTGCTTGTTTTTGTCAAGTTTGTCAAAAATCAGATGGTTATGGATGTGTGGTGTTATTTCTGAGGGCTCTGTTCCATTCCATTGGTCTATACATCTGTTTTGGTACCAGTGCCATGCTGTTTTGGTTACTGTACCCTTGTAGTATAGTTTGAAGTCAGGTAGCGTGGCGCCTCCAGCTATGTTCTTTTTGCTTAAGATTGTCTTGGCTATATGGGCTTTTTTTGGTTCCATGTGAAATTTGAAGTGTTTTTTTCTAATTCTGTGAAGAAAGTCAATGGTAGCTTGATGGGGATAGCATTGAATCTAGAAATTACTTGAGGCAGTATGGCCATTTTCACGATATTGTTTCTTCTTATCCGTGAGCACGGAGTGTTTTTCCATTTGTTTGTGTCCTCTCTTATTTCCTTGAGCAGTGGTTTGTAGTTCTCCTTGAAGAGGTCTTTCACATCCCTTGTAAGTTGTATTCCTAGGTGTTTTATTTTCTTTGTAGCAATTGTGAATGAAAGTTCACTTATGATTTGGCTATTTGTCTATTATTGCTGTATAGGAATGCTCGTTATTTTTGCACATTGATTTTGTATCCTGGGACTTTGCTGAAGTTGCTTATTTGCTTAAGGGATTTTTGGGCTGAGACGATGGGGTTTTCTTTTTTTCTTACTCTTCTACATGTATTTCACAGTTTTATTACATATTCATATGCACATAACGCATAAACTTAAAAGATATAAGTTCATACTGTATTTAAATTAAATTTTATACTTAATATAAGTACTATATATAACACACTATAGAAAATTATGTTTATATGCTGTATTCTTTATTCTTAATTATAATTAATCAAAAATAAATTATATATTTACATACATATAAACTAACATTTATATATGTATATACATACATTAAAATTTATACTCTGTGTAGTGTATATAAATTAAAATGTACAAAATTAACATCAAACACTTTATATAATGATGATGTAACTTGCCTTTTATCCAACACAATACATTTTTATTTCTATTTGTTTTGATGCATCTTCTTTCACGTCATTCATTCAAACTGCAGTGGAGCTTTCCATTATTGGAATATGTCACAAATAATTTATTATTGTCCTATGATTTACAAAGTACACATGTTTGAAATTTCCTATGACTATAAACAATGCTGACACACATTCTGTGGCTTTCTTTTGCACACATGCAAGTGATTTTAGGTCTATTAGGTCGACTTGGTCCAGACCTGAGTTCAAGTCCTGAATATCCTTGTTAATGTTCTGTCTCATTGACCTGTCTAATATTGACAGTGCGGTGTTAAAGTCTCCCACTATTATTGTGGGAGTCTAAGTGTCTTCGTAGGTCTCTAAGAACTTGCTTTATGAATCTGGGTGCTCCTGTTTGGGTGCATATATATTTAGGATAGTTAGCTCATTAGCTCTTCTTGTTGCATTGATTCCTTTACCATTATTTAATGCCCTTCTTTGTCTTGATCTTTGTTGGTTTAAAGTCTGTTTTATCAGAGACTACGATTGCAATGCCTGCTTTTTTTTTTGCTTTCCATTTGCTTGGTAAATATTCCTCCATCCCTTTATTTTGAGACTATGTGTGTCTCTCCACATGAGGTGGGTCTCCTGAATACACCACACTGATGGGTCTTGACTATCCAATTTGCCAGTCTGTGTCTTTTAATTGGGACATTTAGCCCATTTACATTTAAGGTTAATATTGCTATGTGTGAATTTCATCCTGTCATTATGATGCTAGCTGGTTATGTTGCCCATTACTTGATGCAGTTTCTTCATAGTGTCTGTGGGCTTTACAATTTGCTGTTTTTGTAGTGACTAGTAACAGTTTTTCCTTTCCATATTTAGTGCTTCCTTCAGGAGATTTTGTAAGGCAGGCCTGGTGGTGACAAAATCTCTCAGCATTTGCTTGTCTGTAAAGGATTTTATTTCTCCTTCGCTTATGGCTGGATATGATTAACTTAGTTTGTCTGGATATGAAATTCTGGGTTGAAAATTCTTTTCTTTAAGAATGTTGAATATTGGCCCCCTCTCTTCTGGCTCTTAGGGTTTCTGCAGAGAGATCTGCTATTAGTCTGATGGGCTTCCCTTTGTGGGTAACCAGACCTTTCTCTCTGGCTGCCCTTACCATTTTTTCCTGAATTTCAACCTTGGTGAATCTGACAATTATGTATCTTGGGGTTGCTCTTCTGGAGGAATATCTCTATGGTGTTCTCTGTATTTCCTGAATTTGAATGTTAACCTGTCTTGCTAGGTTGGGGATGCTCTCCTGGATAATATCCTGAAGACTGTTTTCCAACATAGTCCCATATTTCTTGGAGTCTTTATCATTTCTTTTCATTCTTTTTCTCTAATCTTGTCTTCATGCTTTATTTCATTAAGTTGATCTTCAATCTCTGATTTCCTTTCTTCCACGTGATTGATTCATCTATTGATAGTTGTGTATGCTTCACGAAGTTCTCATGCTGTGTTTTTCAGCTCCATCAGGTCATTTATGTTCTTCTCTAAACTGGGTATTCTAGTTAGCAATTCCTCTAACCTTTTTTCAAGGTTCTTAAAGCTTCCTTGCATTGGGTTAGAACATGTTCCTTTAGCTCAGAGGAGTTTGTTATTACTCACCTTCTGAAGCCTACTTCTGTCAATTCGTCAAACTCATTCTCCATCCGCTTTTGTTTCCTTGCTGACAAGGAGTTGTGATCCTTTGGAGGAGAAGAGGTATTTTGGAATTTTGGAATTTTCAGCCTTTTTGCAGTGGTTTTTCCTCATCTTCATGGATTTATCTACCTTTGGTCTTTGATGTTGGTGACCTTCAGATGGGGTTTCTGTGTGGACGTTCTTTTGGTTGATGTTGATGCTATTCCTTTCTGTTTGTTAGTTTTCCTTCTAACTGTCAGGCCCCTCTGCTGCAGGTCTGCCGGAGTTTACTGGAGGTCCACTCCAGACCCTATTTGCCTGGGTATCACCAGCAGAGGCTGCAGAACAGCAAAGATTGCTGCCTGTTCCTTCCTCTGGAAGCTTTGTCCCAGAGGGGCACCCACCAGATGCCAGCCAGAGCTCTCCTGTGTGAGGTGTCTGTCGACCCCTGCTGGGAGGTGTCTCTTAGTCAGGAGGCACAGGGGTCAGGGACCCACTTGAGGAGGCAGTCTGTCCCTAAGCAGACCTCGAGTGTGTGCTGGGAGATTGGCTGCTGCCTTCTGAGTTGGTAGGCAGGAATGTTTAAGTCTGCTGAAGCTGCGCCCACAGCCGCCCCTTCCCCCAGGTGCTCTGTCCCAGGGAGATGGGAGTTTTATCTATAAGCCCCTGACTAGGGCTGCTGCCTTTCAGAGATGCCCTATCCAGAGAGGAGGAATCTAGAGAGAGTCTGGCTACAGCATCTTTGCTGAGCTCTGGTGGGCTCTGCCCAGTTCAAACTTCCCAGTAGCTTTGTTTACACTGTGAGGGGAAAACCTGCCTACTCACACTTCAGTAATGGTGGATGCCCCTCCTCCCACCAAGCACAAGCATCCCAGGTCAACTTCAGACTGCTGTGCTGGCAGCGAGAATTTCAAGCCAGTGGATCTTAGTTTGCTGGGCTCCATGGGGGTGGGATCCACTGAGCTAGAACACTTGGCTCCCTGGCTTCAGCCCCCTTTCCAGGGGAATGAATGGTTCTGTCTCACTGGTGTTTCAATCACCACTGGGACATGAAAAAAAAACAAAAACAAATCCTGCAGCTAGCTCAGTGTCTGCCCAAACGGCCACCCAGTTTTGTGCTTGAAACCCAGGGTCCTGGTGGTGTAGGCACCTGAGGGAATCTCCTGCTCTGCAGGTTGTGAAGACCGTGGAAAAAGCATAGTTTCTGGGCTTGAATATACCATTCCTTAGGGCACAGTCCCTCACAGCTTCCCTTGGCTAGGGGAGGGAGCTCCCCAACCCCTAGTGCTTCCTGGGTGAGGTGACACCCCACCCTGCTTTGGCTTGCCCTCCTTGGGCTGCACCCAGTCTAACCAGTCCCAGTGAAATGAGCCAGGTACCTCATTCGGAAATGCAGAAATCACCTGCCTTCTGCATTGATCTCACTGGGAGCTGCAGACCAGAGCTACTCCTATTTGGCCATCTTGCCAGCCCCCACTCTGTTTGGAGCATTTTAAGACATGAGTTAATGTTCACATAGTTAACTTAGATTATGTCCCATCTAAGTTGAAGGTCTTAACGATCCCAAATTATCTCACCACCTTTTTCCTCTCTTGATTCCATTAACCTTAGTATTTCAAAGCAATCTAATTTTGGATAAATTGCTTTCCTGTGTTTTGGCTGCTAGCTTTTGACAAACGTGTTTTAAGTTTCACTCAAAGGCTAATTTTTCTTATTTTAACCACTGAATGCTTTACAAATTATGCTAGCAAGATGTCTTTTATTTCTCAAGTTTTAGTTACTCAGAAATTATAATTTTCCAAAGCTAAAATAAGCTTGAAAACTTGATGCTGAACTAAATATCATTTTCTAGATTAAATCCTTAAGAATTTATTATTAGGAAAATTTGTTTCTAGTTATCTCCTAGCTGATAAGGCTCTGAATTCAAATATAAATGTAATTTACTGGCATATTTAATTACATTCTGTGTATTGATGAGAATTACCAATTTTTAGAAGCATTTTTTTTTTCCCACCACAGGAATACAACGTTAGCTGGCACCCCACTCCAGAGATGTTTGCCAGCTAAGCCTATGAGAGTGTACACATACTTTTCTCCCCCTCCCCTGCACATGCACACACGCAAGCTCACAAGTTGGGTGAGAAAAGAGAATGACTGGATATGTTTTTTCTTTTTTCAGTGAATAAGCCATTCAAGGTACTCACGGAAGAAACAGTTAATTAAGAATTATTTATTAAGTGCCATGACATTGTGTTAGATATTGTGATGGATGAAAGCAAAGAAACATAGATATTTTCTTATCATTATGATCTATCAATAGTTAGGAAAGTATACATGTACTCTCCCAACTAAAGTAGATGATTTGTCATGGATGAAATGTGGGTAGTAATAGAATTATAGCAGTGGCTACAAATCCTGAGCCCTTCTATGGAACTAACACTGGACCAACCAAGAATTTTCCCTAAATTATCTCATTTGTTTCTCCCAGTCATATGGGCATGTGCCTCCTATGTCACAGACAAAAGTCATAAAGTCTGAGAGGTCAGTTTGCCCAAAGATATGTAACCAGTGCTCAGTTATCATTTAAACCCAGGTCTCACTCTAAACACTGCTTTTCAGAGTATTCTAAATGTGTGCTTCAAAGATGGGAGAGATCTCTTTAGGGAAAATTTCGACAGAGAATCTGGTATTTGTATTGAGAAATGAAAGACCAGCAGAACAATGTTAGGCATAGATACCGGGGAATAGATTTTAGGCAAATGGAAAGATTTGCCTCAAGAAAAGCCCGAGATTGGGAGTATAGAGATGTTTGGGGACTAACCGCTAGTCCAGTTTGGCTGCAGTACAGTGGATTTAAAAATCTGGATGAGACAAAAGGAAAGACAATGGGTAGTTTTAAATATATAATGTGTGCTCATTTATTAAAAATTTGAGAAACTAGAAGTAGGACATGAGAAATCATTAATAAAAATTTAGTCCTACATAACATAGAGTTTAGAGAAATCTCAAATTATCATCCGAGGCCAATTGTGTTTTTAATGTTCTTTGTTTTTCTTCTCAAGTAAACAGTCATTTTTGTAAGGAGAGATCTCCAAAGTAATTTGTATTTCTTTGGAAAGAGAATATAAAAGTTTTAAACGCTTTAGTAAATCAATTAATCCTTTTGTGCTATTTTAGAATACTGAAAAATATATGTTTAACATACCTAGAAATATCACACCAAATGAAAGATGGATTGTTTACTCACACAATCTCATTACTTATAATCCTCTAGAGAGAATATGTCAACTTTTACTTAATACCATGCTTTGTTATCTGTTACAAAGGTCTTCATAAATACTAGGAGACAGTATTTTATTCAAGGCAAGATTGAGGTCAATTCTTATTAATGGTATGGACCTCTTAAATATCCAAATCCATTTGGAACAATTTGATTGTTTTGTTTTGCCCTTACAAAGACATAGATTTTTTAAAGTGTCAACATAGTTATCCTCAGCACAAGAATCGAAAATATACAAATGGTTGTGTTTATACTTTCTTCATTGGGTTGTTGGTGTTTATTTCAAAATGCTTAATTAAACAGTTTTCAATTCTAGGATTTCAGTTGCTCATAAGAAAGAAAAAAGAAGTCTGCATTTGAAGACGCTTTTTTCTTCCTCTTTTTTTCCCATTTTCAATTACTTAGAAATTATTTTGCAAGAATAAAACTTGTTTGCCATACCATTGAGTCAGAGACAGACCTTAGATTTCAGTCGTTTGATTAGAAAGGAAGAACGTAAACAAGCTCAATCACCCGTGAAAGTGTCTAATGAAATTCAAATATAAATGTAATTTACTAGTGCCAGAAGTGCAACATTTGTATAATTTGCATGGCAAGTGCAGGGTTAATAGACAAGAAGGAAAAGGCAAAGAAGCAGCTTTCAGAGACTAGAGATGTAAGCACAAAGCATTTCCCTGAGCTTCTCTGAAATGGGAGCTGATCAAGCAATTAATATAGTTAAAAACACAAAAGTACACTTGGATCTTAATCTACCTTAGGAAAGTGATCCAAACCGAATACGTAAAATTGATTGACGAAGACGACTTTCCAGTGAAGTGGAAAAGTCTCATAAAAATCCAGAAGTGGAATACAAGGAACAAGGTAATGATGCCCATCTTGTCTGTCAGCACTGAATTATTTCATAGTGATTAAACTCAGTTCAGTTAACCAGGAAGGTAGTTCATTTTTACTAATGAGTCTACGTTGAAACTCTGTTTGGAGCAATCAACTTCCTAGTTTTCATTTTCCTTCCATCCCACTCCCCTCCCCCTACCACATCCAGGCTACCTTTTTTTTTTTTTTTTTTTTACTCTAAGAGTCAGTATTGAAGATTGGAAAGACCTACCGGACAAGTGGTTTCAGAAGACCTATGTTCTTGCATTTTATGAACTTCTATTATTAAAAATACTAAATATATTATGTGATTCCAATGAAATAACAGTAGCCTTATCTCAGTCCTTCAAACTGGCCAATACTAGATTGTAAGTTTTGAGAGTCCAGGGACCGTGTCCATATTCACTTACCCTCATATCCTCAGTTCCCCACACATTGCCTGTACATATTGAGTGCTCAGTCAATATTGGTTGGAAAACATCAAAAATTGAGTGCATCATTTGCATCTAGACTTCACAGATTGCATAAGCATGTTATGTAAAGCCACTAGATAAATATCTTCTTTGAGGATCAACTCTTCTGAAAAGGTACTTCCAAAGACAAAAAACCCTAGTTGATTCTTGACAGCTGGATGCTTATAATGCCCAGTCTCACTCACATCAGAGCCACTTGAACAGGATGTAAGTATGTTTAGGAAGGTCTGTTAGGTGACTCTGAGAGCTGCTAGGACTGAGCAGAGAGCCCTGGAAGGCTTCTGTACTAGCGGGACAGCAGCAGCATCTGCAGAAGGTGGACACCGAGCTCAGAGCTTACAACTGATCTGAAGTCCATGTGTACTCAGCTCCTGGCACTGCTGGCAGATCCTAGAGATGATGGATGCTGGCTGGCATGAGCAGGCTTCTCTTTGAAACCTGCAAGCCCAGGAGGCTTCATGGGGCATGCAACCTCTGCAGTTGCGCAGGGCCAGGGCTCAGTGGATTAATGCTTTGCTGTTGCTGTACTGAAATTAACAATTTTATCTTTGAACTTTTGTGTTGTAAGAGAAGCCCTATAGGATACCACAGCAGTGCATAAGCAGGGGAGATAGGGTGCAATGTGCGTGCCTGCCATTCCTTGCTGCCACTGACATGTCCTGTGAGCACAGAATTCCAGTGCACCCATGATAGGCGAGTGTTCCACGGGTCTCAATGTAAGTATAAAGTGTGTAATGTCTACGACTGAGGAAGCGGGTGTGCTGACAGTCCTGAGAGGCTAGGCTTTCCATTTGAACCAGAGCAGCTTCAAAGGCAGAAGTGTGATGGTGGTCTCTAAGAAACACGAGTGACCAAGATCTCTATCATCTTCTTTCTTCCTGATGTTACTTCTGTACATTACTTATGCATGTATGAGCATGTATGGCTTTTGTCATTTCAGTGATTCTGCATCTAGTTAAATGCTTTTATATTTGGATTTTAAACTGGCAATGCACAATATAAAGAATATATGGTAATGACTTGAAATTTTAATTTTTCTTTACTTAGAACAACATTACATAACAAATAAAAAACATCATGATGAGTTGAGAGAAAGACTATGGAAGAAAGGAAAAAGCTGTATATTTTAGTACCTTTAATGGCACTTCTTCCTGCTTTTTGATCAAAGGGCTCCACATTTTTATTTTGCAAATTCTGCAGCCAACTTGTCCAGAAGAGATCATAAGAAACCATCTACTTATTCCTTTATGGTTTGATAAACAATATGCCTACATAAAATATTGTCAGTAGAATGAATTCATTAGTATTCTTTCTTCCCAAACAATAAGCGCCAGCTTCTAAAAGCAGATACGCAGAGCAGATGTATAAAAACAGGGACTAAAGTTCAAGACCAGCTCATTCAGTTCCCTTTAATTTTCTTGAGTCTTTACCAGATGATAGATTATTTTGTTTCTATTAAATTTACACATAATTGCACCAAATACTTTTAGATATTAATATTTTAAATAGGACATTTTGGCGATTTCAGCAATGTTCTGCAAAACTTATAGTGTCTCCTAATGGCTCCCATGGTATTTATTGGTAACTAATTGTCAGATGCATCACTGACAGCCCAGGGCCTTGGTGGAGAAGATGGCCAGAAGAAGCTCCTGCTCACTTAGCTCATTCTCTGGTCCAGGCTTATCTATACATATAGGTCCACAGTCCATAGTTTTTCTGACACCTGGTCTAAAGACATTGATAAATTCCAGAAGAATTTTACATCTTGGAAAATTTCTTCTCAATCTTTCTTACTCCATCTCTCTTCTTCTTTCTCTATTCACTTTACATGCATTTGTAAAGTGATACAGATAAATGTAAGGTATACATACTACCAACATTTCCATTCCCAGCTCTGTGGCCTTTGTGTTCCGAACACCCTCCGTGGTTGATCTCACCCAAATCTATGGCTTCCATGACATCCCAGTTATCTTCCAAAGGCCAGAGCCATATCTTAAATCTACTCCACATCTATTCCTGAAGCACCCCAAACTCATTTATTTGGGGATATTTAAAATATAAGCCATTGTCTTCCTCCACATTGAGTAACTTCTCTAGTTGGCGATTGTGTCATTCAGCTTTTCAATGAGATTTTCCACTCATTACTAAGCCCCAATGACTAAAATATGCCTTCCTTTGTGCTTCTTTCCCTGGCTAGGGTCCTTACCATCTTTAATTTAGTCCTCTGCCTCTTAGATCTCCCCCCACCCTGTCACTCCCCACAATCTAGTCTAAATACACCTACCTAAATGGTCTTTTAGAAATGCTCTTCTGAACATGTGGCTTAAAACCCTTCAGTGGTCACCTATATAACCCCACTCCCACCACACCTTAGAATGGCATATAAGTCTCCCTTATGACATTGGCCTTGCAATGTACAGAAAGAGAGAGAGAGAGACAGACAGACAGACAGGCAGGCAGGCAGGCAGGCAGGCAGGCATTGTTTTGATTAGGAAACTCAGGAATATTCAAGTTCTGAAATCACAGCCACCACATTCTGAGAGCTTTCCAGGGAGAAATATCTGAATAGACACTCATATAAGGCAAAGGCACATTTTACTACCAGTAGGAACTCTGGCCCCAGTGCATGGAAAGTAGTGAACTGGGCTAGATTATAGGGAGTCGGGAAGGTTCCTTTTTTCTGGGTTAGGTGTGTCCAAGTCCTTTTCCAAGTCTCCTCTTCTGCTTGCCTTTCCACAAAGCTGAAAGGGGTGTTGAGGGAAGAGGGATGGGGTGGGTAAGGAATGGGTGCATTTCTTTACCAGGGAAATAGAGCCCTGGGTCCATCAAGACCTCTGATCCTGTGAGAAAGGAGCCAGTGGAGATGCAGCTAAGCCTCCTGCCAAGGAGAAGGAGTCCCGAGAGCTTGTGCACTGGCCACGTGTAGAGAAAGAATCTGCCAAGTGCCGGAAGGGGAGAGAAGAAGGGAGGAGTCTGAGGAGGAGCAAGGTGGCCCGGCCTTTTGTCTTCTGTGGCCCGTAAGAGCCAGAACAGGAGCAACTGCAGCATCTGGAACAGAGATGGTCAAACGTTTCTGCAAACCTTGGCAATTCATTTTCTTCTTTTAGGATGGGGTGAAGAGGGATGAGAATGGGAGCTATGAGCATTCCTTAACCAACTGGTCTCTCTGGCATTATTTGATTTTGTTTGTTTGTTTGTTTTTGTTTTGTTTTGTTTTGTTTTGTTTTGAGACAGAGTCTCACTCTGTCACTAGGCTGCAGTGCAGTGGCGCGATCTCGGCTCACTGCAACCTCCGCCTCCCGGGTTCAAGCAATTCTCCTGCCTCCGCCTCCAGAGTAGCTGGGATTACAGGTGCTCGCTACCACACCCAGCTAATTTTTGTATTTATAGTACAGATGGGGTTTCACTATGTTGGCCAGGATGGTCTCAATCTCTTGACCCCTTGATCCATCCGCCTTGGCCTCCCAAAGTGCTGGGGTTACAGGTGTGAGCCACTGCACCTGGCTCTGGCATTATTTCTAAACCCCCTTCTAAAAGTAGCTTTTGCCCAGGTCATAAGGAACACCATCTATTCCTCCCTGCATAGTTCTCCCTCAGGGTTGGACATGATGCTCCAGAGCTTGGGAATCTCTCACCCCTCCTCTACCCAGTGCCTAATGCGTCATTCCCTTCCAGCCCAGTGGCCTCCTTCTCTGCAGACCCTTCCTTGGTGCATCCAAACAGAATTTCCTTTTTGCTATAGCCAGGCCCACTGCAACATCTTTAATTACAGTAGTTTTTTAAAAAAAGATTATAGTTTAATTATACTATTCAAATTACTTTATAATATGTTTATTTTCCATAGTAAACCTTAGACTCCTGGACATCAGGAACTTTGTCTTATGAGACTTCCTATCCCCCAAATAAACAGGAATCTGGAACACTCTGTTTCCTTAATAGAAATGTTTTAAATAACTGGTGAAGGAGGGAAGGAAGGAAGGAAGGAAGGAAGGAAGGAAGGAAGGAAGGAAGGAAAGGAAAGGAAGGAAGGAAGGAAGGAAGGAAGGAAGGAAGGAAGGGAAGGAAGGAAGGAGGGAGGGAAGGAAGGAAGGAAGGAAGGAAGGAAGGAAGGAAGGGAGGAAGGAAGGAGGGAAAGAAGGAAGGGGGATGGAAAGGAGAGGAAGAGATGGAAGGAAGGAAAGGACTATTATTGATTATAAAGGCTTGGGTTAAGAACTCTTAAATTTCAATTTTAGAATTAAACTAATTTTATTCATAAAGAATTAACAGATTGGTAATTTATCTATGAGGACCTACTTATTCTTTTAAATAATTACTGCAAACACATTTCACTGCATAAATTTCGGGAGATGTGGAAAGCACAAAGAAGAATCTGGCCAAGATTTTAATAGCATGACAATGGCTTTTGACGCATTGTTTATCTTTCTTTCCAGCTAACAGCTTTAAAATCCTGTGACTTCTTCAATGGTCTGTATGTTGAGAAAAAGGTATTTTCCAAAATGCTGATATGGAAAAGCACTTTGCTTATGCCCTGCTACCAGGACTCAGCCAGGGTGCTGTGACCTTTAACCTACCTTCTCTTTCTTGATAATCCGAGAGTGGTGTCACTAACTGGTCACCATCCTGTTGAGATTGTCTGTCTTTATTTATTATGATGTTTTCAACCTTTAATGTTTCACCTGTATTTGTATCTCTGTGTCCCATGTCATCTGCCATTGTAGGGAGCCTTATATTTCTGCAGATTGACTTACGCTTGATTTATTTACCTGAGATGCAGAAATTCCTGATGTTCTTAAACTCAGACAAATAATAAATAATGGAATAATGACTCCTCATTTCATTTTTTTAGTTTTCTAAACTAAAGTTTACAATGTGAAACTGATATTCTTTCTAAATATTTGGATATAGGAGATTGCAGTGAAATACTTATCATAATTTCATATTCTTTTCTTTGAAAGTTTTTTCTAAGATTGTGTGAACAGAGGTAACTGTTCTTCAATAGTTACCTGTGGAATCCATCAATTATTTGTTTACGCATTAGTTTATATTTTTGCAAACAGAACCTGAAAAATTATGTAGGCAGATACATATTTAAGATTTTTACTCTTCTACTTTTTGATTGCTTTTTCCCATTACATTTGAATGTTATAGATAATCAATTTTCATAAATATTTTTAAGTCATATTTCTCTTATGCATCTTTTAATGTGTGCATAAATGTAATATGAGAAAACCCGATAAAAATTATCAACTGTCTTGAGAAGCTGAATTTCATTGGTCATTTATTGTGGTAGTTTCAGTCTCTCTCCTGTCATGTCTATTTTCACTGTCTATATTTAAAAATCTGTAAATAGGCAGATCAAATTAAATTATTATTTTATAATTGCTGGTATTAAAATATGAGGGTAATACATGGCCTTTTCTGGAAGTTGATACTTTGTGTTTATTCACACTATCAGCCAAAGATGTATTTTTACTTTGTAACATTGTTGAAGTAGATTTTATAGGTTGCACTAAATAAATAAATCTTTTTATGGTAATTATAATTTTGTTTGCTTTTAAATATTTATAGGTAATATTATTTTACATATTTCCCCAATAATTAACTTACTCATTCTATTAGTCAAAATCTTACTAAATAGGTACTATACCTAACTCAAATAGGCAATACAGAGATTAAGTGCCTAGGCTCTGGAATCAGATTGAAATCCCTGGTTCTCCACTTTCTAGGTGGATGTCTGTTAAATGAGGATAAATTGTTCCAGGTGATAATAGTTTGATAATTCCATAGGATTATCGTGAGGGTTGAATTGGAAATGACGTGTAAAATGTGTACTGCACACTCATAGTGAGTTCTCAGAGCATGTTAGCCATTATCAACATTGCTGGATGCCGGCTGGATGTGATGCATATTAATTTCTTTTTCATCTTCTATGCGTAATAATTCCAGAAATCATCAATTTTTTCCTGTTTAGGTTCAACAGCAAAGCTATTATCGAGAGGCCTTAAAATTGCCACTATTTAGAAAATAATCGATGAGGCAACATGAGTCCATTTCCTATATGACTGGTTTGTAGCCAATATTCTGGCTGCATTAAGCAGCTTTTGACATAAAGATCATCTCTACCGCAGCTGCATCATGGGTTGATGCATTGCTGGCTTGTTATCTGGAGACTTTCTTTAGCTGTCTGTATCGGTGTGTGACTTTAAGTCTTGGCCTTTGGAAAAAATGATAGGAACAAAGCCAAGGTTCTTGTTCTTTCAGGGCAGCCATTTCTGCTGTTCACACCCAAGGGATTCAAGAACATGGTTCTGACCCTCATGAGGATTCAGCCAAAATGTGCCAAGCCTGGGTGGCCATTTCAACATGATTTTGTTCCCATATGGTATATTCAGTGCTACAAAAACCTGTTGAGCAGATGCAGCATAGTGATACTTTACAGAGTTATTGCCACACTGAGAAGCCTGGTTGCTTTCTAAGTTCTAATCATGCTTTATAAAAATCCTAGAAATAGTGGTTAACCTTTGGAACAAAAGGTCTATTTGAAGCTTGGCTTTAGAATAGATATCATAATACATTTCAGATGAATTAATGAACTAAACATAAAAAAAAGAGAGAAAACATTTAAGCAATCTCAAGTGATTAAAGAGCAAGAAAAATTATTTGTAAATTGTTTTTTCATCTGTTGATAGGAAAAGGTTTTCTAAATTCAGATACAATGGACTAAATCCCAAAGGAAAACATGGCCCGATACGACTAACTATAATATGCTTTCTTTAAACTGTAATACTTCAAAAACTTTAAAAATTAGAAGAAAAATTCTAAAAGCTTTTGCCCAAAAATGACAGAGTTATGATCATTGCTTTATGAAGTGTCTTTACAAACCAATAATAAAAATATATTTTTCTAATTTATAGATTGCTTGAAACAGATGTGTATGTTTAAGTAGACGTGTGCTTTTTATTTTATTTATTTTTTTTTTTTGAGACGGAGTCTCACTCTGTTGCCCAGGGTGGAGTGCAGTGGTACAATCTCGTCTCACTACAACCTCCGCCTCCCAGGTTCAAGTGATTCTCCTGCCTCAGCCTCCCAAGTAACTGGAACTTCAGGAGTGCACCACTGCACCCAGCTAATTTTTTTGTATTTAGTACAGACGGCATTTCACCATATTGGCCAGTCTGGTCTTGAACTGCTGACCTCGTGATCCGCCTGCCTTGGCCTCCCAAAGTGCTGGGATTACAGGCATGAGCCACCATGCCTGGCCAATGTGTGCTATTTTTAGATATATTGTTATTACCTATTTATTTCATAGAGTTTTCATGAGGATTGAATTTTAAAATACAGGTAAAATATATAGCACTGGGCTGGGTGCAGTGGCTCATGCCTGTAATCCCAGCACTTTGGGAGGCCAAGGTGGGCGGATCATGAGGTCAAGAGATCGAGCCCATCCTGGCTAACACAGTGAAACCCTGTCTCTACTATAAATACAAAAAAAATTTAGCCAGGTGTGGTGGTGCACACCTGTAGTCCCAACTATTCAGGAGGCTGAGGCAGGAGAATCTCTTGAACCTAGGAGGCAGAGGTTGCAGTGAGCCGAGGTCATGCCACTGCACTATAGCCTGGGTGACAGAGTGAGACTCCATCTCAAAAAAAAAAAAAAAAGATATATATGTGTGTGTGTGTGTGTGTGTGTGTGTGTGTGTGTGTATGTATATATGTATAGAGCACTATGCTAGCACATGACAATACTAGTATTAGATATTATTTTTACATGTTGGAACAAGAGTTGTGGTCACCCTACTGGTAAGAAGAAGGTTGAAAGAAAAGTTGTTTGATGCCTATGACTCGAGAGTATGCATAAATTTCAGACTTCTAAACTTGAAGGGGTCTGGACTAAGCCATCTGTACCCTACATATAAGCAGCCACTGCAATTTGGAATAAAAAACCACATATAAATAATGTATGAATATATATTCTACCTGAAATTCACTCAGGTCTTCACTAATTGAAACACGAATGATTCAGCATCCCAAGAAGCAAACTCTAGCTTTATCAGCCAGTCAAGGCAGGAAACGAACAGCAAGGCAAGCCCGCTTCCCATCTGTAGAGCAATGATAGTGACTTGTCAGTTGTCCCAGCAAGAAGCGGTATAAAAAGAAATCCCCAAGCTTGATTGAAAGCATCCAAGAATATCAAAGAATGACATGCGATTTTCCTTGAATTTTTTAATTTTCATTCAATTTGCTTGAAAATGTAAATACGCTTCATTCAGTATCAGTTAAGAGGGTCTAATGAGGCAAAAGTGGACAAACAAATCCTGGAACCACTATTAGGAGAAGAAGTGGAATCACCAGCTCAGTTATAAAGCAAACCTCAGTGGTTCTAACACAAAATTTCTGCCTAATATATTCATTATATTTCTCTACATTTCCATTTTAATTATCGTGAAGAAAAGACAGCCACCCTTTTGCCATGTGCCGTAATTTATATTTGCTCTAGCAAGATAAGTAATACCACTCTAAATACATCATAAACAAAATATTTATTAGTAAAGCCTCATTAGCATGCATTTCATTCTGATAATAAGGTTTAGGAATTTAAATTAATATCAGTGTTATTCGAGAACATGGCTATTAACATTTAATAATATTTAGCATTTATACAGTCCTTTGTGTTTTCAAGGTACTTTAGTCATTAATTAATTAAACCTCAAATTATCATGGTGAGCAGATTCAGCTCATGGTTTCTTCAGTTATAAAATCATATTCATAAGTATTTTAACTTTTTCAACTAGGAATTCTCACAGTCATTTTCTTAGACGTTCTCTCATAGAGTGAGATTGCTTGTATATAGAGGCAAGAATCCCTCAACTGCAATCCGTTAATGATATTCTCCTTGCTAGTTGTGAGGATCAGAGATGGGCAACCGGCAGGAGAAGGAGAACAGAGCTCTTTAGCTGTTTTGAAAATGTCTATTTGCTTTTTTTTTTTTTTTTTTTTTTTGAGACAGAGTCTCACTCTGTTGCTCAGGCTGGAGTTACAGTGGCGAGATCTCGGCTCACAGCAACCTCCGCCTCCCGGGTTCAAACGATTCTCCTGTCTCAGCCTCCCAAGTAGCTGGGATTACAAGCACCTGCCACCACGCCTGGCTAATTTTTGTATTTTTAGTAGAGATGGGGTTTCGCCATGTTGGTCAGGCTGGTCTCAAACCCCTGACCTCAGGTGATCTGCCTGCCTCGACCTCCCAAAATGATGGGAATTACAGGTGTGAGCCACTGTGCCCAGCCAAAATGTCTTGATTCTTACTCTGCCACTGTTGCTTCTGGTCCCCAGCCCCTGACATGACCCCCTCAAAAGCTTAAAATAGGCTCCAGATTTAATATCTATCCATTTAAGCTGTGTCACAAAAACACTCTTCAAAACAAAATAGTTTCCAGCCAGGAAACATCCACACCTAGGGGGTAAAAATACACAATTGAGAACTAAATCCACAATTGAGGCTAAGGTGAAATTTAGACTGAAATCATCACAGTTTTCCTGGTTAGGCCCATCTGGACAGGGATTAACAGTGCAGACTTGAGGGGTATCCTGACTCTTGGAGAGATTGCTGCCCAGGAAGATTTCTCAGTGGGTGTTGGTTCCCTCCTGGAAACAATGTCAAGGCAAGCCTCTTTGCTTAAATTCACGTGGGCCATTAGGCTGCAGTGCCCTTGTCTTCGTGATCCACCCCAGTTCCTTCTCATGCAAGGAATATTGCCATCTGCTTACATTTGGGGTCCTTTACTGTGGCCCGGGGCTATTTGTCTGACACATGAAATGCTCGGCTTTATTAAGACAGTCTCAAGGCTGGTTCTTTGCCTTATAGCGTGGGTCCTGCAGAAGCCAGTCCCCAAGGGTCCATTCCTAAGAGGCTAGGACGGAAAGTTCCATCGCCTTCCTCTGAAGGATAATTTTATCAAGGCTAAGCTGAGAAAAACTCTGGAAACAGTCACATACTGATAGAAGAAAGCATAAATTTATTATCAGCAGGGAAAAAGAAAATTATTATCATCCATCAGAGTGGCAAAAGAGACAAGAAAAGAGTCTTAATGCAGTCACCCTGTGGGTCTTAGCCCTGCCTTCTCTTGCTGTGTACTGGATTCACAAATGCCTGTTTTTAAAATACAAGCAGATTCACCAGAGTCGTCAGGATAATGGTCTCCATCTTCAGTGGCCCAGAACTACCAGGTAGGAGTCACTTTTTATACCAGATCAAAACAAATAGAACAAAATTCTTCTTAGAAATAAAATGTGCCCAGCATTATATGACTACATAAATCCTAAACATGCTGCAAAATTATCATCCTTGGGGACAGAATTTTCTGGGTTGTAGAGATGGCTCATTTTCTGTGGGTCTTCACTACTCTGTTACAAACTTGAAACTACCGTTCAGATCATCAGTAAACATCTGTTTTATTTACAGAAAGAGAGCCAGAGAGAGATACCATAACTTACCTTAACCTTAAGATGCCATGCATAAATGCTGAAACAATACCCTGACACAAAGCAGATAACCAAATATTCATTTCCAATATGAACCCTCACCCTGCAATATTTAATGGCTCCCTATTACCCAAATGGAATAAAAATTCAGACTCCTCAGATGTGATAAATCTTTTACAATGTCATATTTAACCCTCCACCCCTTCCCAACCCTCAGCTTCACATGTCCTCTCCAACCCCATCATATAAACTGTGTTTCAGGTGGCCCATAGTATATTTGACTACTCTATGAATATGCTGGCTGATGTACCAATCTCTGGGCTTTTCTTTGATTTTCTTCGATTTTCTTCCGGTACCTGAAATGCTCTTATATTTTTCAGTTGCTCCCAGTACATTGTGAGATCCTTGAGGAAATGGACTAGGTATTACTATTTCTTTATTCTCCACAATGTATATAGAGCTTTTTGAACATGCCACAATGTATATAGAGCTTTTTGAACATGCTAGGCGTTCACAAAATGCTTTTGTAAAAAGAATTGGATTGAAAAATATAAGCCAGGTTTTGTTTTTTTTTTTCATGCTCACTTCTGAGAAGCAGCATTGAACTCCAACACATTGTATCCAAGGAAAGATTTGTTGCATGAAGTTTTTTTTCAAGATTTGTTTTGATGTAGACCCAATGAAAACACGATGGCCTCTGGTCAGAAATAGGATGGATTATAGTCAGAGAGTCAGCAACGGGTAGGAAAACTAGCTAGAAATAAATGTTACGATTTTAATGAAAAAACTTGCCTACGTTTAGGAAACTTTCTGGGCAAGAAGCTCACAATTAGAAAAGTTTTGATTAATGTACATACATGTTAAGCTCTTTTGTGCTCATGGATACAAGGATTAATCACATATGTGTGAGGGGGAAGAAATATCATATTAATTTAGCAACTGTTTGACACACCATAATGAATATACACCTTCCAAATGTGGGAAATTAGATCGGGAAACTTCCCACCTACAAGCTAAATGATCTCTCTGTTTCAATGATGCCACATGTGAGTCCAGCAATTATTGCATCTAAATCAGCATCAAGGTAGTTGAGATACACACACACACACACACACACACACACACACACACACACACAAATTTGAATTGCAGATACAGAATAGAGGACTTATGTTTTAAGAATCACTTTAGTTTGACATGTAAGAAACATATCATAGGGCTCTGCCTAGCATAGGGCACTAAGCTAGATGCTGAGGACTTAAGGACAAAAAATGTCTGCCCTGGATTTGAGGAGGTCACCGTCTACTAGCAGGAGGGCCAGATGTGCAAACAACTAACGATGTGACATGCTCCCTAATAACAGTAGTTATAAAATGCTGCAGGAATGCAGATCAGAGAGCAATGTATTCTGCCTAAAGAGATTTTGAAAATAAAAAGCATCACTAAAGAGCTAACTATTGAGCTAGGTAAGGAGAGAACGGAAGAGCTCTTTGCAAGAATAAAAGCAAAACAAGAAAAGTTTGTGGTATTTGGAGAGACAGGCAAGCATTTGTCCTAGGATGGAGGGTAGATTGAGTGGCAGGGATGAAACATTCAAAGGCCAAACAAACAACATCAATAAGTAAAGCAAGCCTGTGGGGACTCAAGGAAACTGGAGAATGTGTGTCCGTCTGGAGAGGCTGTTAACTGCACAGGTCTGACAAATGCATGCTGACAGTCAAAATGCTGGCCCAGACTCACCAGAATTTGGGAGTCTTTAAAAAGACAGAAATCTAGGTTTAGTATGTGAAATCTACTGCTTTTTAACTTTTGAAAACTGATTTAGAAATTGTAATACTATATAACAGTCAAACAAAACACATGTGTGGGTTAAGTACAACCTGCAGATGGATGTATGAATCCTGTCACATGGGTGACAAGGATAAGCAGGGGTTGGGGACAGGTTGTAAGGAGGAAAAATGAAATCATAAGTGTGTTTGGCTTTTGGAGTGATGGAGATGCTTATCTTGATTGTGGTGTTGATTTCCTCACTTATACGTATGTCAAACCTTACTGTACAATTTGAATATGTACACTTGATTGTAGGTCAATTATACCTTGAAAAAGCTATTTCTAAAAGTTTTTTTTAAAGCATATGCCTTCCAACATTAAACAACCATAAAATAAAAATAAATGTGTTTTCTACTTATAAAGACTTTCCAGCATCCCTTTTCTCATGTACCTGATTCAAGGTAGCTCAGGACAGGAAGAAGGCATTGTGATGGACCAAGCCTTTTTGCCAGCGGTCACAGGAACCTTGAGAGCAATTTGGAATGAAAGGAACAGGGAGGATGAAAGACATGAAGCCTATTCTTCCACCTCTGAGTTCTGAGTTCCTTTAGCCTCTTGTTTCTTAGAAATTAAGAACTAATAGAATCATAAGAGATAGAAGAAAGACAAAACATAGGTAAGGAAAATAAGGAGAGGTAGGGACCAAAAAAAGGGTACAATTCGATCTGGCTGGTTTTCTGTGCCATCCTTCCCCTGTTCCTATGGTCTGGCTGGTTTTCTGTGCCATCCTTCCTCTGTTCCTATACTCTGGCTGGTTTCTGTGCCATCCTTCCGCTGTTCCTATGGTCTGGCTGGTTTTCTGTGCCATCCTTCCCCTGTTCCTATGGTCTGGCTGGTTTTCTGTGCCATCCTTCCTCTGTTCCTATGGTCTGGCTGGTTTTCTGTGCCATCCTTCCTCTGTTCCTATACTCTGGCTGGTTTCTGTGCCATCCTTCCGCTGTTCCTATAGTCTGGCTGGTTTTCTGTGCCATCCTTCCCCTGTTCCTATGGTCTGGCTGGTTTTCTGTGCCATCCTTCCTCTGTTCCTATGGTCTGGCTGGTTTTCTGTGCCATCCTTTCCCTGTTCCTATAGTCTGGCTGGTTTTCTGTGCCATCCTTCCTCTGTTCCTATGGTCTGGCTGGTTTTCTGTGCCATCCTTCCCCTGTTCCTATAGTCTGGCTGGTTTTCTGTGCCATCCTTCCCCTGTTCCTATGGTCTGGATGGTTTTCTGTGCCATCCTTCCCCTGTTCCTATAGTCTGGCTGGTTTTCTGTGCCATCCTTCCCCTGTTCCTATGGTCTGGCTGGTTTTCTGTGCCATCCTTCCCCTGTTCCTATGGTCTGGCTGGTTTTCTGTGCCATCCTTCCCCTGTTCCTATGGTCTGGCTGGTTTTCTGTGCCATCCTTCCTCTGTTCCTATGGTCTGGCTTGTTTTCTGTGCCATCCTTCCTCTGTTCCTGTGGTCTGGCTGGTTTTCTATGCCATCCTTCCCATGTTCCTATAGTCTGGCTGGTTTTCTGTGCCATCCTTCCCCTGTTCCTATGGTCTGGCTGGTTTTCTGTGCCATCCTTCCCCTGTTCCTATGGTCTGGCTGGTTTTCTGTGCCATCCTTCCCCTGTTCCTATGGTCTGGCTGGTTTTCTGTGCCATCCTTCCCCTGTTCCTATAGTCTGGCTGGTTTTCTGTGCCATCCTTCCCCTGTTCCTAAGGTCTGGCTGGTTTTCTGTGCCATCCTGCCCCTGTTCTTATAGTCTGGCTGGTTTTCTGTGCCATCCTTCCTCTATTCCTATGGTCTGGCTGGTTTTCTGTGCCATCCTTCCCCTGTTCCTATAGTCTGGCTGGTTTTCTGTGCCATCCTTCCCCTGTTCCTATAGTCTGGCTGGTTTTCTGTGCCATCCTTCCCCTGTTCCTATGGTCTGGCTGGTTTTCTGTGCCATCCTTCCTCTGTTCCTATGGTCTTTTCCTGGCAGGAGGCTCTTCTACAGGCCTCTTGAAATCCTTACTTTGGACCCATCATAAAAAGTGTAAGTCACGGTGTAAGTAAAAAAAGTGTTGCTGTAAAGCTGAACAGTTTATTGTTAATCAGTTCACCCTCCAGGCTATTATGAATTCAGCAGCAAGACGGCCCACTTAAGATAGGAGGGGGGTCCAGGGCTGATTTGTGGTGGTGAAATTTTCTGATAAGCCTATTTCCCTCCATTGCATATGCTTAATTAATTAATTAATTAATTAGCATACTCTTTTTTTCATTTGATGATAAATAATACTATATGCTCTCTCTTGAGAAATATATGCAAGCAAAAGACAGAGAAGCTTATAACTGATATCTCCTAGGAGAGGGATCTTCAGGGATTTCTATCATCTCTTCTTTCAAGTAAAGTTAAATTCCATAGGAGAAGAAATTACACATAATCTTGTACATGATGAATTTTTTTGTTCCACTTTTCTTCTTGAGTGAAAAGGCAATGATAGAAAATAAAAAGTAAGATTCAAAATTATATTAAATCCTTCTAATTTGTGAGCTGTTCTGTTAGTGATGAAATTGTATCTAGTATAAATTCTCAGCACAATGGATACAGTTCTGCTCCATGACTCACATTAACATTAATAAGAGCTGTGCCATCAAATTCCACAAATCACATAAAGAATTATCTATGCTGGATGTTAAACCATGGGAAAAGATAGCAAATATAAGGGGACTAGATAGGTCAGGTGGTAGGTCATAGACCATATCAAAGCTAAACTGCTAGGAGGGTTACTAGGTGGTGAGCACTGGTGAAACAATTGTGTTCATAGAGGCAGAGAAGACTGGCTGGAAGCACAGGCTCTAGGGTCAGGTAGAACTGTTTGACCTTGGATCTTCTAGTTAATCGCTTTGTGATCTTGGAAAAGTCATTGATTTCTCTAAGTCACATCCCATGATGTAAAGTGAGTACAGTGCTTGGTATGTATCACACATACAATAAAAGACAGCTGCTGCTATTACAGATTCATAGGAAAGATCCTTAAAAATCATCTCATCCTATCAGCTCTTTCTACTTCAAGGAGTACCTTGAGACTAGAAGTATAATATTACTTGCCTAAGTTCACACAACTAGTTAGAACAAATCTGGGAGAATAGAGCAGACAGCCATGAACTTTTATCACCCTATGTTTGTGTTTTACTTTACAGATAATATCTGTCCTTTATTACAGCTTTATTGAAGTACAATTGTCATACAATCAACTACAATCACTTAAAGTATACAATTTGATTAGCTTTAACATATAAATATGCCCATGAAACAATCACCACAATCAAGATAAGGACCAGATCCTTCACTCCTAAAAGTGTTTTTCTCCTTCTGTATAATCCATTCCTACCTTCTTCTACTACCTCTAGACAACAGCTAATCTGCCTTCTGTCATTAAGACTAGTCTGATATTTCTAGGGTTTTGCATAAATGGAATCATATAATATATGTATATAGTATATAATCTCCTTTTTGGTCTGGATTCTTTTACTCAGAAAAATTATTTGGGATTTATCTATATTGTTGCAATTTTCCACATTTCATTCCATCATATTTTTGAGTGATATTCCACACCACAATTTCTCCATCCATTAACCTATTGATAGATCTATCAGTTGTTTCCAGTTTGGGGCTATGATAAATAAATGTGCTATGAACATTAGTGTACAAGTCTTTGTTCACAACAAACAAAATAAGTTAGTGTACTATTTATTTATGATAAATAAGTACACTTTGTTTATTTGTGATAAATAAGTATACTAACTTATTTTGTTTGTTGTAAACAAAGACTTGTACACTAATGTTCATAGCAGATTTATTTATTGTAGCCCCAAACTGACATGTGGTTTTCACTTCTCTTGGGTAAATATCAAGGAGTAGGTTATCTGTGTCTTATGCTGGGGGTGGGGGTTATTTAGCTTTTTTAAATAAACTGCCAGACTGTTTTTCAAAGTGATAGTGTCATTTGTCATCCCTACGGTCAGTGTTTGAGAGTTCCAGTTGCTCCACATCTCCAACGTTGGATTTTGTCAAAGGCTTTTTCTATATCTTTAGTCAACATATCCCTAATATTTTGTCTTTATGAGAGCATTGTCTCTTTAATTTTAATTTCTATTTACTTATTGATAGTATATAGAAATTCCATTGATATATAGATTAAATCGATACGTTGCAAACTTGGTAAAGTCACTTATCAGTTTCAGAAGCCATTTTGTAGATTCCTACATGTTCTACATTAACAAGTATATCATCTGAAAGGAAAGTTTTATTTCTTTGTTTCCAATCTGAAAACCTTTTTTTGTTGTTGTTGTTTTCCTCCCTTATTGCACTGGCTAGGACCAGCAGCACACTACAGTATAAACTACAAGAGCACACATCATTAACTGATTCCGAATCTTACAGGGAAAGCATCCAGGCTTCCACCATTAAGTGTAGTGATGGAGCTACAGATTTTTCCTAGATGTTCTTTATCAGATTGAGGAAATTCTCCTCTAGTTCTTGTTTACTGAGAGTTTTTTTTTATTGTTGTTTGTTTGTTTTTTAATCAGGGATCAGCATTGGATTTTGTCAAAGGCTTTTTCTATATCTATTGTGAGGATCATATGATTTTTCTTCCTTTGGCTTGTAATGTGGTAAATTATATCGTTTTAGCCTACTAATGTGATGAATTACATATTAAACCAAACTTGTAATCATGGGATAACCCCTACTTGATCACATGTATTATCTTTTTTACATATTGTTGGAATTGATTCATTAAAATCTGAAGAAATTATGTATTTATATTCATGGGGGATATTAGGCTTTAGTTTTCCTTTTGTGTGTTTGTCTGATTTTGTTACAAGAGTAATTATGCCCTCACAAATTGAGATTGAAAGTGTTCTCTTCTCTCCCAGTTTCTGGAAGAGTTTGCATAATTTCTTTTCTTCCCAATGTACTTGGTAGAAAAAAACGGAAAAGTTACCTGTACCTGGAGTTTTGTCTTTTGTGAGTTATTCAAATATAAATTCTGCCTTTAATATATAAAGAGATGTTCAGGTTGTCTATTTCTTCTTAAAGGTGCCATGGAAGTTTGTGCCTAGAAAGGAACTTCTCAATTTCATCTAAGTTTTTGATTACTGGCATAAAGTTTTTCACACTATTATTATCTTTATGGTTTCTGAAAGATATGTAGAGATATGCCCTGTCTCATTTCTGATATTGGTAATTTTATTTTTCTCTTTTTATTCTGATCTAATTTGCTTAAATGTCTTATCAATTTTGACACTTTTTTAAAGATCTAGCTTTTCTTCTACTGATTTTGTCATTACTTTTGCAATTTTTATTTATTCGATTTCTGCTCTTCTCTTTATTATTTCCTCCTTTCTGCTTTCTTTGGATTTCACTTACTATTTTTTTAGTTTCCTAAAGTAGAAGGTAAGATAACAGATTTAAGGTATTTATTTATTTTTAATATAAACATTTAATATTATAAAATCCCTCTGGACTCTGAATAGCTGCGTCTTTCACAATTTTTTGTGTAATATTTCAATTTTCACTCAATTCAAAATGCTTTCTAATATTCTTTCACTTGTGGGTTATTTGGGAGTGTGTTATATTTTTCAGATGCTTCAGAAATTTCGAGATATCTTCCTGTTACTATGTTCTAATTTAATCCTATTATGGTCAGAAAACATACTTTTTATAACTTCAATTCTTTACAATTTATTGAGAGTTTTTTATTACTCAGAATATAGCCTATCTTGGTAAATATTGTCTATACTTGATAATTTTGCTGCTGGTGGTTATAGGGTTCTATAAATATCAGTTAGGTCAGCTGTTTGCTAATATTATTAGTCTTTTATATCCTTGGATTTTCTATTCATTGGCCGATCAATTATTGATGGAAAAAATGCTGAAAACTTTGGCTGTAACTGTAGGTTCATTTATTTTTTTCAGTCCTATCAGTGTTGCTTCATGTATTAATATTTTAAAGCTCTGTTACTTGGTACATAAAACATGTACCTCTTAATTAATAAACTCTTGTCATCATGAAATGATCATCAGCAATATTATTTGCTCTGAAATTTACATTGCCTGATATGAATATAGCTACTTCAATTTTCTTTCAATGTTAGCATAGTATATCAATGTTCATACATTTGCTTTTAGCCGATTTTTTTTTAATAATACAATGGGTATCTTTCAGATATGTCTTTTTAAATCCAATCTGGTCATTTCTACCTTTTAATCTAAGTGTTTAAAGCATATGCCTTGAATGTGAATATTGATTTCTTTATGTATTAATCTACCATCCTGCTATTACTTTCTATTTATTCTTTCTGTTCTTTATACCCTTCTTCTTCTTTACTCCCTTCTTTAGAATGACTTGTGTACTTTTAATTATTCCATTTTAACGCCATTATTAGCTACTGTATTTGCCTGTTCTGACAATGCTATAAAGATACTACACAAGACAAGGTAAGTTATAAAGGGAAGAGGTTTCACTGACTTACAGTTCTGCATGGCTGAGGAGGCCTCAGGAAACATAATCATGGCAGAAAGGGAAGCAGGCACCTTCTTCACAAGGCAGCAGGAGAGAGTGTCAGCATGCAAAGGAGGAACTTGCCAAACACTTAGAAAACCATCAGATCTCATGAGAACTCTCTCATTATCACAAGAACAGCATGGGAGAAACCATCTCCATGATCCAATCACCTCCTTCCCTCGACACGTAAAGATTAAAGGCCCCTCCCTCAACACATGAGATTACAGTTCGAGATGATATTTGGGTGGGGATACACAGCCAAACCATATCAGCTACTAATCTCAACCAGTACATTTTTTTTATCTGAACATGATATTTTTCAAATCTAGTAGTTTAATTTGGGCCTCTTTTTAGCTTCCATATTTCTCCTTAACATACCTCTGCTTTACCTCTGTGAACATACAGAGTATATTTACAATTTTTAAAAATGTCTTAGTCTTCTAATCCTATTATATTTTCCATTTCTGTGTCTTTTGTAATGGTTGAGTTTTACCCTCATAGATTGTTTGTCCTTCCTCCTTGCATGCCTTGTAATTTCCGTATAGATGTCAGACATTATGAATTTATGCTGTTGGATGCTGAATCTTTTAAATATTTTTGAGCTTTGTTTCTGGATACAGTTAAGGTACAGTACCTAGAAATAGATCAGTCCTTCTGAGGCACTTTGATACACAGGATGAGAGCAATCTTTTATCTAGGGTTAATTTGGCCCCCTTACTGAGGCAATATCCTCCT
Source organism: Homo sapiens (assembly GCF_000001405.40). Classification (NCBI taxonomy): domain Eukaryota; kingdom Metazoa; phylum Chordata; class Mammalia; order Primates; family Hominidae; genus Homo; species Homo sapiens. The sequence continues at coordinate 155,725,567 of NC_000006.12, read as the reverse complement.
GAGTACTGATACTTATACATTATGAACTTTCCACTCTGGTTACTGAAACAAGAGTAATTCTGTCCTGGTGGGACTCTATTGCTTTCTTGATTCTTTTCCTAACTTTAAGTTTCCTCACAGCGTCAGCTGTGAAGTGCTGAGCTGAGGACTCCAGAGAACTCCTCTGCAGGTCTCTGGGGCTCACTCTCTTGCCACTCTTTCTCTCTGGTATCCTGCCCTGCTACTTCTAGCCACCTTGTACTCCCCAAATTCTGAGCTCTGTCTCCTCAACCCAGGAATATTCCCGGCTCAATTTGGGCTTCCCTTTTGATATGGTTTAGCTGTATCCCCACCCAAAACTCATCTCGAATTTTAGCTCCCATAATTCCCACATGTTGTTGGAGGGACCCAGTGGGAGATAATTGAATCATGGGGGCGGTTCCCCCATGCTGTTCTCATGGTAGTGAAGAAGTCTCACAAAATCTGATGATTTTGTAAGGGGTTTTCCCTTTTGTCTGCCTCTCATTTTCCTTTTTGTCTGCCACCATGTAAGTCATGCCTTTTGTCTTCCACCATGATTGTGAGACCTCCCCAGCTACGTGGAACTGTGAATCCATTGAACCTCTTTTTCTTTATAAATTACCCAGTCTCGGGTGTGTCTTTATTAACAGTGTGAGAATGCAGTAATACACCTTTCTTATGCTGCTGCCTGGAAACTCACCCTGACAATAAGCTGAGATCTTGTGAAGCCCATCTCACATTTTTCTTCTCTCAAAGATAACCGTCCTGCACTGCCTGTGGTCCCATATCTGAAAACCATTGGTTCATATATTTTACCTAGTTTTTCAGTTGTTTAAAGTGGAAAAGGAGATCTGGTTCTTGTTTCTCTATTGTGGCTAGAAGTAGATGTGTTCATTTTTAATAAAAATACAAATCAATAATATAGAAAAGTAAAAAATAAGGTTGCCTGAAATTTTCTAACCTAGATATAATCACTGTTAGTAATCTCCCTTAATTTCTTGTATGCACATATATATGGGAAATAAATTATATTATAACTTGCCTTTCAAGTCAATAAAAATGTTTTATCATTAGTTTTAATGATCACATAGCATTCCACTGAATGCATGCAATATAATCTAATTAACTCATCTCCTACTACTGAATAGTTAAGTGTTTCTAACTTACCGATATTTTTTAAAGTATTCTGATGAACCACAGTAACTCATACCTATATTCTGTTCTTTTTGCCCTGACACTGAGCTGACTTTAAAACTCTAAAACTTTCCAGGCTACCAAGTTTGTTCTGTGGCTTCACCTCATACATATTCTGCTGGAATTTTTAATAACGAGAAAAGTGAGAAAAAAGACAATTGATTTTGACAGATGATGTTCTGACCTGAGACTGATAAAATGTGAAAATTTTTTGTCTTCAGCTCAGTGTGAACTCTCTTTGGGGAAAATTGAGGCTTGTAAAGCCTCATTTAGATCACAATATACAGGAGGAGACTTAGGCTGCCAGTTTATTGGCTAAGTAACTAAAAATGCACAGTACTTTGGCAAGTTAATTCAGGTTGGTGCCAGAGGCAATCTGAATTGAATACAAAAATTTTTAATCATGAATTGTGGTTAGAATGAGCACTGGTAGGAAACGCACACTACAATTGAGTGGCAGTTGGTTTAGCCTGCTGAAATAACTTGATGATTTAATCCGCGTCCCAACAGATGAATATCCCTGAGTTTGGACCTAATAGTTGTGTTTTACGGAGTCTCATCCAAGAGCTCTGGATTATGGGATAATGAAAAATGAATAATACAGGTAGAAGTGCCATTGAGTTAGAGTTGAGATATGTTAATAGACAGTGAGGTGAATTTGTAATAGACTAAAGTAAACCACATTACTATATTTTACATTTGCAAAGCTTAAAAAGACAAATAGCTTGGCATATCTCCTGCAGCAATATAAGAAAAGTAGCCTAATGTTTACACACCAATAAGGAGTATTAATTTTCTATTTGTTTTACTAAAAGGTTATACCTTGACATCTGGACAGTGTAAAGTGTGAAAAAGCTTTCCATTTTTGTAAGTAAGACTGGATTTCACAGTCTTAAGAAAATAAACAAATTGATATCTTTTTTTTCTAGTTCTTAGATTTTATGTTCTGAGAAATTATTAACTAGTTTTCCTTTGGGTATTTAAAGCTTTAATGATAAGGAGGAAAAGACAAGCTCTTCAAAAAGAAAAATAAAATTTTAATGAAGATGTATTACTAGATTAGTAGAGAAGTGTCAGGCAATTGAGGAATCTTGTTAAGAGAACTTATAGAGAAAGGAGAGGCTGTGGAAAGAGATGTCTGAAAGAAGAAAAGCTGGAACACATTGTCAGACAAAACAAGGCGGCCACTTTGGTGGCAAGTAGTTAAGATTTGGTTTTTAAACATGTTGTGTTCAAGATTTAGACAAGAGGAAATTAAAGGAATTCAAAAATAAAATTGGGAACAAAAGTCCATGTTCCATTTAATTAATAAGAATTGTTTTTGTATTTTTGTTGTTGTTGTTTGGAAAACATTCACCTTTCTTTTTTTATGGTTTAAAATTAAGATTCTAGAGTTAGTGTAGACAGACATTCATTTTATTTATTTATTCATTGGCTCCAACCTTTATTGAGCACAATGAATTCAATAACACACTAACCTGGGGATACAGTGAAGAGATACAGTAGGCAGAAAACATTTTGAAAAACTACACAAATAGTTAATAGTTATAAATGAGGTAAGAATTATTGAAAAAATAAAGTTGCCATTTTATAACTTGCTATTTTGTTTTCATTGTTTCCCATGACTATTCTGAAAGAAGATAGGGCTACCATTATTTTTTCAGGCACAAACAACTTATTTGTTGCCTGACCCAGCAGTGGCCTGGCATGCTACTGCATGAGGTAAAGACAAAGAAATATTCTCTTCTCCATGGGCTGAAATAACAAGACAAAGTTGCATAGTTCACAAACTATGATACATTCCACATCATTTTTTCAGAACTTGAAAATACATTCCCAAGCACTATTAATCGTAATTAATTATTTCGTGCCCAAATCAGGAAGCATTACTTAAATATTAAGCCTTGGTAATGGAAACTTTCAAATGGTACAGTTAGCCCATTTCTTAATTATTCATCTTTCACTTTCCATATTTGTTGGTGCTTAGGTTTTAACCTTGACATTCAGGATGCAGCCAGTGAGTTCCTACACACTCCAGTCATTTACAGTGTCTCCACATTTTTAAATGTTTCTAAAAATTCAATTATCTTAGCTGTTGGTACAGGACTATGTATGAGCATTTGTTGAGGGTAGATGTTTACTTTTAAAGTAAAGATGAGGAGGGAGAAAAGATGATGATTGTGATCTGGCAAATAGAGTCATGTGTCACATCAGATGTTTTGGTCAGCAACTGACTGCATATACTACAGTGATCCCATGAGATCATAATACCATATTTTTTACTGTATCTTTTCTGTGTTTAGATATGTTTCAATACACAAATACTTCCCATTGTGTTACAGTTGCCTATAGTATTCAGTACAGTATCATGCTATACAGGCTTGTAGCTTAGGAGCAATAGGCTGTCCCATATATCCTAGGTGTGGAGTAAGCTCTACCATCCAGGTTTGTGTAAGTGCCCTCTATGATGTTCCCACAATGATGAAATCATCTAACAATGCATTTTTCAGCCTGTATCCTTGTTGTTAAGTGATACATGACTGTAAGACCGGAAGCACATATAGAGCATCTCCTAAATATCAGAACTGTGCTAGAGGTATCTAGCAGAAGTCACAGTGCACAATGCAAGATCTAAATAAATCCTATATCGCAATGCAACGTGTGCCACAATACAACCCAAGTATTATCCAGGTTCTAAAACAGCCCAGAAGAGAAGAGAGAAATAACAAGGGATTTATGTCTGAACCAAGTATTTGAAAAAAATTAATAAGAATTCACCTGTTGAGGAAAGCTAGGAAATTCAAGTGATAGTGCCATGTGTAAGACCGGCACGTTGAGGATACCCAAGTAGCTCCAGAGGGCTGAGGAGTGAGCTGTTGGAGGAAGGGCAGTCCCCTGCTCTCATCTATTTTCAATCTCTCCCTGGTTTTTGAAAAGAATATAGTTGTCTGGTGCAGTACTTTTTTAGGTGCTTATTCTGTCATTTACTGAAAGAAATGTGTTAAAAATCTTCTGCTATGATTGGGAATCTGTTTTTCCTTTTGCCTCTATTAATTTTTGCTTTATATATCGTGTGGCTTTCCTATACATACAATGTATACATAGCCAGAATTAGGATTGTTTTATCTTCCTGGTGAATTACATTTAGTGTTATTAATAAAACTCCCTTAATCTCTACTAATAACCTTTGCCTTGATATATATGGTAGGTTGTTGCACTAATTACCGATTTTTATTCAGTTACATATTTTTCCTTTTCACTCCTTCCCTCTTCCTTGAGTTTCCATCTGTAATCATTCATCGTCTGCCTGAAAAACATTGTTTGGTACTTAACATTAGTGTAGATCTGGTGATGATAAATTCCTCTGTTTTTGTTATCTGAAATTTTTTATTCTTAACCTTCATTCTTCAAGGGTATTTTCATTGGTGGTGAAATTCAAGGTCTGCTCCAAGGTGATCAGGATTCATTCCACAGTCTTTGGCTTTCTTGTTTCTGTTAAGATCTCTCTCCATTGAATGGTTGTTCCTTTCAAGATAATATTTTTCGCCTCTATCTGCCTTTTAAGATTTTTCTGTCTTTGGTTTTATTTTGATATTTCTAAATGCGGTAATCATTGTATTTGCCATATTCGGGATTCTTGAGTCTGTGACTTAATGTCTTATGTTAATTTTAGAAAATTCTCAAATATTGGTTTTAACTCATTCTCTCTTTTCTTCCTGAGATTCCAATGATATTAGTTTAAGGCTTCCTTATTTGTATATTAGATATTTCTTGCCTCTCGTCTGTGGTTTTTTCTCTCCATGCTTTATTTTTCTCTCCATGCTTTGTTTTGGGTATTTTCTTGTATGAATATTCTTCATTTTTTGTTGTATTTATTATGTGTACATCATAATTGTACATATTTATGGGGTACAGTGTGATTTTAACTGCATGTATACATTGTATAATGATAAAATCAGGGTAATTAGAATGTCCATCACTGTAAATATTTATCACTTCTTTAGGATGATAATAGTCAAGCTATCTTGACTATTTAGAGTTATAATACATTACAGCTACAATACATTTAGAGCCATAATACATTATTATTAGCTACAGTCACCCTACTGTGTAATGGAACACCAAAACTTATTCTTCCTGTTACTTTGTACTTTTTGTCCAATCTCTCCCCATTCTTCCTTTCCCCCTACTCTTCCCAGCCTCTGGTAACCACTATTCTAACTCTCTACTTCTGTAGAATCAACATATTTAGATTTCATGTATGAGTGAGATCATGCGGTGTTTATTTTTCTTTGCCTAGTTTATTTCACCTAATGTGATGTCCTCCAGGTTCATCCATGTTGCTACAAATGACAGGATTTCATTCTGTTTTACAGCTGAATAGTATTCCATTTTATATATATATATCTATTTTCATATATATACACATATATACATATATACATAATTGTATACATAAATGTATATATGTATATACATATATACATAATTGTATACATAAATGTATATATGTATATACATATATACTAAAGAGATATGTGTGTATATACATATACACACACACACACATACCAAATGTTCTTTGTCCATTCATCTATAGATGGGCACTTAGGTTGAAACCATATATTGGCTATTGTGAATACTGCTGTGGTAAACATGGGAGTGCCGTATATCTTCAACATGCTGATTTCATTTCCTTTGACTATACACCTAGTAATGAGATTGCTGGATCATATGATAGTTCTGGCTTTTTAGTTTTTTGAAGAACCTCCATACTGTTTTCCATAATAATTGTAGTAATTTACATTCCCACCAACAGTATATAAGAGTTCCTGTTTCTCCACATCCTCAATAGCATTTGTTATTTTTTTGTCTTTTTTATAATAGCCATTCTAACTGGGGTGAGATGATATCTCATTGTGATTTATGATTTGCATTTCCCGGATAGTATGTGATGTTGAGCATTTTTTAATATAGCTGTTAGCCATTTGTATGTCTTCTTTTGAGAAATATCTATATGAGTCTTTTGCCCACTTTAAATCGGATTGTTTGGAGTTTTTTTTGTTTTGTTTTGTTTTGGGGTTTTTTTGGCTATTAAGTTGTTTGAGTTTCTTTCATATTCTGGATAGTAACATGTTGTAAGATGCAGAATTTGCAAATACTCTTTCCTATTCTGTAGGCTGTCTCTTCACTCTTACTGTTTCCTTTGCTTTGCAGAAGCTTTTTAGTTTAATGTAATGTTTGTCTATTTTTGCTTTTGTTACCTGTGCTTTTGAGGTTTTATCCCAAAACTCTCATCCAGTTCAATTTTATAAAGTATTTCCCCAATGTTTTCTTCTAGTATTTTCACAGTTTCAGGTCTTATATTTAAGTGTTTAATTCGTTTAAAGTTGATTTTTATATAGAGAGATAAGTAACTAGTTTAATTGTTCTGCATTTGGCTATTTGATTTTCCCAGTATCATTTATTCAAGAGAATATCCTTTCCCTGAAATCTGTTCTTGGCACCTTTGTTTAAAATCAAACAAAAATGTAAATGCATGGATTAATTTCTGGGTTTTTTATTCTTTTCTATTGCTCTATGTGTCTTTTTAAGGTCAATACCATGCTGATTTGGTTACTATAGCTGTTTAGTATATTTTGAAGTCAGGTAGTGTGATATTTTCAGCTTTGCTCTTTTTGCTCAAAATTACTTTGGTTATCTAAGGTCTTTTGTATCTCCATATGAATTTTAAGATTATTGTCTCTCTTTTTGTAAAGAAAGTCATTGATATTTTGATAGGAATTGCATTGAATCTCTAGATCTCTTTGGGTGACATGGACATTTTTACAATATACCTCCTTCAATCCACAAACATGAGGTATCTTTGTTTATTTGTGTCTTCTTCAATTTTGTTTATCAATGTTTTATAGTTTTTATTGCAGAGATCTTTCGCCTCCTTGTTTAAGTTTATTTCTAGGTTTATTTTTGTAGCTATTGTAAACGGTATTGTTCTTGATTTCTTCTAGAAGAAATAGATTCCTAGACATGTACAATTTACCAAGATTGAATCCTAAAGAAATAGAAATCCTGAACAGATCAATAATATGTAATAAGATCAAAGCAATAATAAAAAGTCTCCTGTCAAAGAAAAGCTCGGGACATAATGATGTCACTGCTGAATTCTACTGAACATTTAAAGAAGAACTAATAACAATTCTACTCAAATTATACCTCCCCCAAAAAAGAGGAGGGAATACTTGCAAACTCATTCCACGAGCCCAGCATTACCCTAATACTAAAACCAAACAAGGAAAAAAAAAAAAAAAAAGAAAGAAAGAAAGAAAGAAAACTAAAGGTCAGTATACCTGATGAAGATAGGTACAAAAATCTCCAACAAAATACTAGCAACACATTAAACTCAACAACATGTTAAAAAGCTTATTCACCATGATCAGGTGGGATTCATCTCAGTGATGCAAGGATGGTTCAACATATACAAATCAATAACTGTGATACAGCACATCAACAGAATGAAGGACAGAAACCATATGACTATTTCAATAAATGCTGAAAAAGCATTTGATACAATCCAATGTCACTTCATGATAAATAAAACTCTCCACAAATTGGGTACAGAAGGAACATACCACAATACAATAAAGGACATACAATGCAACCAACAACTAACATTGTACTAAATGGGGAAAAGTCAGAACCTTTTCATCTAAGATATGGAATAAGACAAAGATGCCCACTTTCACAACTTTTATTTAACACAGTATGAGAGGTTTTAGCCAGAACGATTAGGCAACAGAAAGAGATAAAGAACATTCATATTGAAAAAGAGGAAGTCAAGTTGTCCCTGTTTGCAAACATGATCATGTATATATAAAATCCTAAAGACTCCACCAAAAAACTGTTAGAACCAATACATAAATTTAGTAAAGTTGCAGGATACAATGTCAACATACAAAAATCAGGAGATTTGTTTTTTGTTTTTTTGTTTTTGTTTTATTTTGTTTTGTTGTTTTTTGAGACAGTCTTGCTTTGTCACCCAGACTGGAGTGCAGCGGCACCATCTTAGCTCACTGCAACCTCTGTCTCCTGGGTTCAAGTGATTCTCCTGCCTCAGCCTCTCGATTACAGGTGTGTGCCACCATGCCTGGCCAATTTTTGTATTTTTAGTAGAGATGGGGTCTTTCCATGTTGCCAGGCTGATCTGGAATTCCTGACCTCAAGTGATCCACCTGCCTCAAAAAATCAATATATCTATCTTCTGATTTATTAATTATCTCTTCAGTTGTGTCTAAGATGCTATTGAATTCATTCATTGACATCTTATCTGTGATTGTTGTATTTTTTCAGTTCTAAAATTTCTATTTTTAATTTCTTATTCTCTGTCATAATTCTCAATTCTAATTCTCTTTCTTATTTGTTATGACCTCGAAAATTTAAAGAATATTTTACAGTCTATCTTTGATTACTCTGTTATGTGATTTTCATGTAATCTCTTGCCCTTACCTGTTTCTTTTGAATTTTGATCATGTTTTCATGTCTCTTTGATCATTTATTTTTGACTGAATGCTTGAAATTTTATTTTATAAATAATTTTATGACCAGAATTGTGCTGCTCTTCCTCCAGGGAAAATATAAGTTTATTTCTGGCAGGTGGCTAACAGCATTAGCAATTTAGGATAACATCAGCCAATAAGGGATATAGTACCAATAGAGATGAATCTAACCAAAAATCTCTTACTTCTAAGATGCTGTTCTTCTCATTCCCTACCCAAAGTCTCATTAATTGCCAGACACATTGGACTTCTGTGGTTTTTGGACTCTATTTCATATAAGCTTAGTTGTAATAGTCTAGCAAAAACTTCTCAGCTTCTCAGCCTCTTAATTATATCTCCTGAAATCAGTAGATATCCCTAGTGAAACACCTATGATCACTTTTGTAGGTTTCTGTCTTCCATGAGATCGTGGCCTCAGAATTCTTCCTTGCATTGTTAGATCTTTAAGAAGATTATTTCTGGTCTAAGTTTTCTAATTCTCATAAAATATTAATCTAAATTACCTAACATCTATTACCAAAAGCTAAACTACCCTCTCCTAACTTCTGTACCATAGTCTAGAAACATGTTGATAATCTAACATTAAAATTTTAAAGGAAAAAAAATCACTCTCTTATTTTTGTGTCTCCTTAAAACCTGCTCTTTTTCTTAATTTCTCTTTGTAGCCAGGTTACACAAAATAAAAGGCTAGGACTGCTCCACTCACACCTTCATTCCCCATTCACTCTTTAAGCCACTGGGGTCTTACATCCATCATAGCTCACAAACTGAAGGTATTGGGCCCACTCCCTATAAAGGACAATCTAACCAAACATCTCTTACTCCTACGAGTAACATTTTAATTTTTAAAACACCCTAAGCGGGAAACCAGTGCCATTTTAATTTTTATGTTTTCTTATCATTGAATTTGAGTCTCCTTTCATTTTTTAAGCAATATTTGTATTCACTTTGCTTAAATTCCCTACCAGTCGTCCTAGGTTATAAACTCCCAAGGACTTCTATTGTCACACTCATTTAAAACTAGAATATATGGAGGGGCTTCGATCAGGATTATGCTCCAATTTCATCCCCTAGAGGAACACAAGGGTTCTATTAGAATAATCCTGGAATTTAGTGTTAAAAGCATAACTGTTTGACTCATGATAACTACTGTTCCACGCCTGCCCTTGAAATGGTATCCAGCCTTACCTCAAAGGCAGTTCACCTTCAGCCTGTTATACCACCTTTGGCAACATGTGTCAGTGAGCTAAAGTGTGCCACAAAGAACCAGAAGCCAGGAGATTTGGAATCTATTTGTCCACAGAAGAAGGTGGCGCAATCTAAAGGGAAGACAATGACTGTCAAATTAGGAATTTTTCATTTTATATCCATATGTTGCCACTTACGAGTTGTATGACATTAATTAAACTCACTTACCTTTCTGAGTCCTTTTTAAATCACATAATATGAGAATAATCATTCGGGCCCCAAATAAGTGGTTGCAGATTTTTTTTAACTGTAAACTCTAAAATTCCCTGCTCTCACTCCCATCACCCTGTTCACTTCTTTTCTTCATATTTGGCAAAACTGTTCATGCTCTGTCTTTCCGAATGGTGTTTAGGTATAGTATCTTATAAAGTAAAGACACTACATGTGTAAAACAGAATTAAAAAGAAATTGATGTGGGAGATGCATGGATATAGTAATAAAACAGGTGAGAGGAATTTAATACCTCAAATAAATCATAACGTATGAAGTTTGAGAGATATGAAGAAACAAAGAGACCCTGAATGTTTCTGAAATAGAATTGAATCTGGGGGTAACAGGGTCAAACGGGATTCATTTAACATGAGAAAGTTTGGGGTAAAAATAAAACAGTAATTATTTGAGTGTGGGAGTAGGGAGCAACAGAAGGAAAAATAGGGGATTAATGAAGAGTCAAGATAAGTGGAAGTAAGAAAATGACCAATAGGCTAATCCAAATGCTAGTCACTCCATAGCAAAACGTTAAGAAATTGCTACAACACAGGAAAGCTGGACATTAGGGGTCTTGCTTGTAAAAAATGAGTAAATGAAAGCAACTTCTTAGACAATAAAGAATCTCTAAGACATTAAGATAGTAAATTCTGGGATCATGAACGAAGTGGTTAAAGCAAAGAAGAAAATCTTCAATAAAGTAAATTTGATAGAAAGTATAGAAGAGGCTAAGATGGAAATATTTATTATTGTATCTACTTCCTACCTAACTGAAATTTTATATTATAAAAGTTAACTAAATATGTTTTAAAAGAAAAATAGTAGCCCAGTAATGAGAAAAAACAATTTTAATATGAATTTAAGTGCTTTACAATGCCCCAACCTATTTTATGATTCACGCACTTCTTCTTAATGTAATATGCCCTAGAATGTTATAATGTTATTGTTATAACTTCTTTTTTTTCTTTTCTTTTTTTTTTTTTTTTTTTTTGAGATGGAGTTTTGCTCTGTTTCCCAGGCTGGAGTGGTGCAGTGGCGCAATCTCGGTTCACTGTAACCTCTGCCTCCCGGGTTCAAACAATTCTCCTGCCTCAGCCTCAATGCCCAACTAATTTTTTGTATTTTTAGTAGAGAAGGGGTTTCACCATGTTGGCCAGGCTGATCTTGAACTCCTGACCTCAAGTGATCTGCCTGCCTCGGACTCCCAAAGTGCTGGGATTACAGGTGGGAGCCACCATACCCGGACGAATGTTATAAATTCTTGTATTTGTGTGGAGTTTCTTAAACAGACAAGCTTAACATTTTCTAGTCTCTCTAAGCTGTGTCTTTAAAAATATGTTTCTAGAAATCACTTCAATCCCTCTGAGCTGTGCTTTGAAATTCATCACATGCAGATGCTTTCAATAATCGTAATGAAGAGGGGATAGTGGTGATGAGTAATTGTTGGATGTACCATGTACATTTGCTTTAAATAGTATTTCAGTATTAATAGATCCTCTTGGATACCAGTAGGATGTATTAAGTGGAAGTAGTAGAGTAACATATGGCAGAATGACTTGAATATTACTGGCTGGGTGCGGTGGCTCACACCTGTAATCCCAGCACTTTGGGAGGCCACGAAGGGCTAATCACTTGAGATCAGGAGTTTGAGACCAGCCTGGCCAACATGGTAAAACCCTGTCTCTATTAAAAATACAAAATATTAGTCAGGTGTGGTGGCGGGTGCCTGTAATCCCAGCTACTCCAGAGGCTGAGGCAGGAGAATTGCTTGAACCTGGAAAGCAGAGGTTGCAGTGAGCCAAGATCATGCCACTGCAATCCAGCCTGGGTGACGGAGTAAAACTTCATCTCAAAAAAAAAAAAATTACTTTCAACAGAAAAATTTTAAGATATTTGATTTAGCAGGAAATATACTTAATTCAAGGCAGTCAGTTCCCCTGTAGATCAGACACATCTGCTCCACGGGTTGGTCTTTCTGAACTGACAGTTCACATCTGATGTAACGCTCCCTCGCTAAATACATTCATGAATATCCCACAAATCCCAAGTCCCCACTGGCAGCTTCCCTTCCTGGGAGGCCCCAGGAAAGTTGTATTGCTTTCTGGATTATGCCAGATATCATTGTCATTGAATATTTCGAAACCTTTTCTCTGCAAGTTAGTCCAACTTAATACCAACCGTCTTTTACCATCATGTGTATTCTATGATTTCCTTTTTGCTAGGCAAGTACTGTTCATTGTATCACCCTTTATCCATACATAAAAAGTGAATTGTCATGGTTCCAGCGTGATATAGGGAAGTTCTCCCTCTGACATTGTGAAACATTATCCCCAGGTGAAATTAAATTCATTGGCTGTCCACATTTCTTTAAACTATGATTAAATAGTTACCTTTAAGTAACCTAGTGTGTTTTGAAATATGAAAACCTGTTGTACTTTTTCTGTTAATAAGTAATTTAGGGTGAACTCAGAATTTCAATTGCCTCTGTAGTCAAGTGTTATAAATAAAATTCTGATTCATGATACAACATTATGCAGAAATAAAAGGTATTCAATTTGGTAATGTGCATCTAATCTAAATTGATTGTGTTCAGCCCCAGCATTTCAACCACTAAATTATCATTTATCTTTGCCTGTTAATAAACATTACAGGTTCTGTCATTGTGCTTTTAAACCTTTTGCGATTACTGTGTCAACCTTATGCACCTTCAAATGATAACACTGTGTAAATAATAATATTACCTCTTAATGCTAATATTGCCTCTCTGCTTTTACTATCCCAGGGCTACCCTGTCATTCTGTCACATTGGGTGACAATGTATGTGGGAGGAAGTAATATAGCCAAATATTCAGGGCTCCGCAGATCCTATGAATATGTTGCAGGCCATCTGAAGCAAAGGTGGAGGAGACAACATAAAATAAAATGAATCTGCCAATGAACCATCATTATCCAGCTGTGAGTCACCCCATCAATTCATGGGGAATCCAAGAAAATTGCATTAGAAACAAAACATTTTGGCTGATACAAGCCAATCACCATAACGGGGCTGCACAGAGAACTCATCAGACAGTAGAAATAAGAACATACATAATGTGCTATTTATATGAAGTAAAAAAAATGTCAAAAGATATAAACATTTGCACAAGAAATGGGCTAATAATCAACCGCCAAATGTTCCATATTGACTAGAGTTAGTTAACTAGGCAGAGAGTTAGTTAAACAGACTAAGTTAAAAACTCGAAGCTTAGAAGGGAGTTGGTGTGAGATTTTTATCAGAAAAATCTGATAAAATTTTTAAAAGGCTGAAATAAGTACCCACCAACAGGAGATATCAGAAATGAGATTTAATGAAGATGATGTTGAACTGTGAATGCAGAAGGAATAGCAATGAAAGAATAAGGATCTGGAGACTTTTCACGTAAGAGAAAACAATGTGTATGCTGCAGTTATTGAATTTAGAGAAACTAACCATGGAGGTGCACATATTCTTTGATCCTTGGTTATGTGTCCAGCACTGCATTCATAACTAATGTGGACACACACAAAAGCAGAAAACCTATCTCCTGCCAAAACATGCTCAAAAATCTAGAGGAAGAAAGAATACTAACAAGCACAAAGCAGAGAAAGAAACTCAGCAGTGAACAAGCACTAAATTGTGTGTTGCAAACTACAAATGCTATAAATACAACAGAAAATAGAGAATAAAATGGGGTGCATCATTCTTGAAAGATGGCTTCACAAAATTGACTCCATTAATTTTAGATAAAGACTAAAATTGGGTTATGGTACTATATCCCAGAGGAACTCTCTGCTAAATGAATAAATATTGCTTTAAGGTAACCAAAAATATTCCTGGAATTATAGGAAAAGCAATAGAACTGGAAAAAAATAGAATTTGTTTTATGCAAAATAAATTGAAACAATAAGATTAAAAAGAAGTATAAATATGAATAAAAATAGAATGAAAGATGGATCTACATGAAAAAAAGAAAAAAGTATGAGAAACTCAGAAAAATAAACATATAAATATGGAAGGCCTCAAATCCCTCCCATCCTTTCATAGATTACCTATTCCCAAAAGAAGAAAGAAAGAAAAGTCGTATCTTCTGTATTTGTGTGTCACATGAGAAATAGAGGCAAAACTCTTTTCACAAAACAAGCAAGAGACAAGTATCCTGGTCTGGTGATGGGGGAACTGGGCTGTTAGGACAACTGTTAGAAAACTCATTCTGTCATTTTTCAGGACTTGTTGAACCAAGACTGCAAAACACAACAGATCACACTTGGCCCTGCATCTTCCGTGATCATATAATTTATTATCCAAACCAAGACACTCTGGAGATGTGTAGTAATTACACCACATAAGCAGGTGTAAACAGGGCTGTCCCCAGAAAACTGGAGTATAAAGTCAACTTTCCTGTGCTCAGCACCACCCATGTGAATCCACTGGAGGGACTGGTGCTGCAGGAAGTCAAGCCAGCTTCTGGGGCTGAGCTGAGCAGCCAAAGTGTGGGCTCCAAGAATTTCAGCGTTCTCCAGTCACAGTTCAGACAAAACTTTTGAATAGAAATTCACACAACCATGCATTTAAAAGACAAAGGAGAGAGAATGCAATAATGTTAGAGATTATCCTTAGATAATCTAGATAATTAGATAATGTTAGAGATTATCCTTGAGAGCAGGGATTGTAGCACTGGCTGAAAATTCAAGAAGTGACAAAATCATAAGAAGTCAGGGCTCCAGTGCCCTCAGTGGGGTGGGGTATACACATTTGGCTGAAAGGGAAACTCTGAATGGAAGTCAAAGCCCAACTCAGGAATGCAAAATGGAGCATGAGATGCAAGGTGCACGATTCACAACACCAGGATAGCCAAGAGTGAGGGACGCGGAGGTTGGGGTTAGAGAGACAAGCTGCTTTAGGGATTGGAGACTGGACAGAGAGGATTTTGGCTTGGGGATGGGGGATGAGGGAGATGCAAGGTAATACCTGAAATCATCAACTTCAAGCAGAAGTTGAACATGCTGGCAGTTTCATTTCTTAGAACAATAATCTGCAACAGTGCCTATGTATTAGAGTCACTTGGCAAGTTTTTAAAAAAATTATTAGGTGGCTGAGCTCCACTAACGCCACTTAGAGAGTCTGAGGGTAAAATCCTGGCACTGATATTTATGATATTAAATACCCCAATGCTCCTGTATTGAAGCTAGAGTTGGAAGATAGCAAAATTCAGGAGAGGAAACATGCCTTTTGACTGATTCAGCTCCAGAAGGAAAATACAGTTTTAATGACGTGGGAGAAATAGAGGGAATAGCCACAAAGTGACCAGTCCTTCTGTAGTATAATAATCCAGGAAGAGAAAACAGAATCTGGTCTGACACCTACTCCAGCATTCTGAAAGTGTGATTCCAGAAAAAGGAGGCTGTGATATTCTACTCAAAAACGAAGATGAAAATGCTGTGAGAGAGCTGGACACTTCTGTCAAACTCACCAACCAAAGACCACCAGGGACACACCTGGAGTCAAAGGTGGGCTTATATGCTAATACCATGGGGAATGGGGTGGCAGGGGGTGAGGGGTCCTTAGAGATTTGGGCTTGTGTTAATTCTCTTCAGGGCTTAAGAAAGCAGAATTTTGCTCTGGAATGGACACTGTCAGGAAGTAGAGGTAGTTTAATAGTTGGATATTTTAATAATTTTTATCTAGTAGGTAGCAAGAGTGGAGCAGGGCTAAATTTGGAGCAGACAAGCCCTGTTAGCTGGGAGGGGGAAAGCTGGTCATTTCTGTGCTGTGTGCAGTGTTCTGATATGCACTCAGCTTTGACTGCGGAAGATCTCCCTTTGGCCTCAGCTCCTTGGGTCACTGAGCACGCGCATCTGATTGTGGCATCCCCTGGCGTGTTCAACGCCCTGGCTGAGTAGCAC
Source organism: Homo sapiens (assembly GCF_000001405.40). Classification (NCBI taxonomy): domain Eukaryota; kingdom Metazoa; phylum Chordata; class Mammalia; order Primates; family Hominidae; genus Homo; species Homo sapiens. The sequence goes on along the minus strand of NC_000006.12, from coordinate 155,709,443 downwards.
GGGCCAGCTCTCAGCTGACGGCGGCCAGGGCTGCTTTTGTCCTTCTCACCTGATGAGACCGGCGCCTGTGACCTCCCAAGGAGAATGCTGAGAGGCATGCAAGACCCCAGGGCACATTCACAGGGATTTCTCCCAAAAGCTCAAAGGTAAGAGTGCCATTGTCTCTCAAAGATGGAAATTCAGCGCCAAGGGACCCTCAAGATACAGTAGTCCAACACCCTTGTTTTACGAATGAAGACACTGCATCCTACAGGGATGTGGTGACGCGGATGAGGCGGCACTGACTCGTTCTCAGGCCTCATTCTTTCCAACGTTGTCTCCGCTTTTTCCAAGCCTCACGTTCAAGCCCATGGTGGATGCAGGAAGCCTTAGCCCCAAATGAGCTGAGCCTTTGACGGGATAAAAAGCGTTTTACAAAAACGTCTTTCAGAGCTGCTTCTAGCAAGCACGTCAATGATTTTCTCTACGGCTGAGGCAGAGATTCTAATATTAATACAGAGAAGGCAACTCCTTATTTACTGTTTTCATTCCGCTTTTTCCTCACTCATTCAACACTGATTGGCTTTACAGTTCATCGAGGATGGCCTTCATACAGAAAAGGCAAAGTAAGTCCATAGACCAGGAAGCTGAGCTCTACACAAGTAAGAGGGCCTTGAGTACAAGGTGAGGAGGCTCTGCTGCCACATCTGCCACCTGCTGGTTCCACGGGCCGGGATGGGGAAGGATGCTCCCCCGGGGTCTCAGGGCGCCATTTCACCACTTCCCATGGTGGAATATTCAATCGGGGAGGTGGCCTTTTCCAGAGAGGCGAAGACCATTCCCCAGTCAAGACTAGGGAAACTCAAGGCTGTTCAGGCCTCTCAAATCACACTACATGCTACTGAAAGAAATAGCAGCTGCAATCATGAAATCTTTCTGGAGAAACTTCTGTGACGAACATTCTAAGGTGAACCTACGTAGCAGAACCTTCCAAGGGGAACATTTGGGAATCACAGATAGTGAGCTATGGACAAACTGCTGGTGAAAGCATATGGTGTGCACAGTGTGCGGGGTTTTCCTGCCCAGCACCCAGTCCCCTCTTCTGATGACAGCAACCTGATTTCCTTGGGAAACTGTTTCCTCCCACCTTTAATCCATGTGGTTCAGATGAAGCTGACTTGACTCCCTGGCTCTACAGGTGGGTACCCGACTCGGGCGTGACCATGTAGGCAATTCCATCCCCCTGGCTAGAGCAATTGTCTCAAGGGTAGGCAAGAGATCCCAGACATGCCAATTGGACAGTTCCAGGATATATATATAATATATATATTTATATATATATTATATATATATTATATATATAATATATATATTTATATATATTATATATATAATATATATAAATATATATATTATATATATAATATATATAATACGTATTATATATATATTATATATATAATACGTATTATATATATAATACGTATTATATATATATTATATAATACGTATTATATATATTATATATATAATATATATATAAAATATAAAATATATAATATATAAAATATAAAATATATATAATATATAAAATATATATTATATAATATATATATTATATAAAATATATATTATATAATATATATAATATATAAAATATATATTATATAATATATATAATATATAAAATATATATTATATAATATATATAAAATATATATTATATAATATATATAATATATAAAATATATATTATATAATATATATAATATATAAAATATATAATTTATTATATATAATATATAATATATATAATTTATTATATATAATATATAATATATATAATATATTATATATAATATATATAATATATATAATTTATTATATATAATATATATAATTTATTATATATAATATATATAATTTATTATATATAATATATATAATATATATAATTTACTATATATAATATATAAAATATATATAATTTATTATATATAATATATAAAATATATATATAAAAATATATATTTTTTTTTCAAATTTCTGGCATCAAAGCATTCTTTTGGCACTGTCCTTGACACTGGTAGAATGTTAACCTGGAACTGCTAAGGGTCACCACCTGGAGGCAGCCAGTCTGGGCTTGAGGCCCATATGTGTAAAGTAAAGCTGAAAGATTAAATGAATAAATACCAAGTCCTCACATACCATAAACCCAGAGCCAACTATACCTGAAAAAAGACCCTAGAATGTTCAGTTACACAGATTTTTTAAATAGCCTTTTTGTTTGCTTAAGCCGATTTGAGTTGTTTCTAGCTTAAAACAAAAAAATAACAAAGAAATAAATTGAAAATACAAAGGCAAAAGTGGAAATTATCAAGGGCAAGCCTTCATTTATCCTCAATGAAAAGGTACCATCATCCTATATTTAGACTGGGGCTATGAAACAATTTTTTTAATTTGCTGACAGAGAAAAATTGAAAGATGAGAAATTAACATTTATTAAATTTCTACTGAAGAGGGATTAAAAAACCCATCTTATACTACATCCTGGTTGTGCAAAGATAAAAAGTTTATCTTATGTGTAGCTATTCTCTTTATGAGCCTCTATCTACTGATAAGTAGATAAAAATTTAACTATGAATACACTTCTGTTTGAATTTACTCTATTATGTTAATATAAGTAGTCCCATTTAAAAGAAATGCTCTTCCAATTTTGAACCTAAGTTATCTCTGAGTGTAGAGAGAATGTATGGCTAAGACACTTCCATGGCAGCAGGATAGTGTCAGTTGTTCTGGGGAGTGACTTCTGTTTCCTCTGGACTAACATTAGGAGTTGAAACATGAGGCTGAAATGATGTCTGAGCTGGCCTCTTTCTGGTGGTATCCCTGCTGGCACAGGACCATCTAGGCTTCCTCTTCCTTTGTTCCACATGGGTGTAGGAGAGTTTGTAAGTCAGTCTCCTCTCAACATCCCAGATGAGCAGAAGGAAAAGACCTTATGCCATCGGGGTCTCCCTTCTGTTATTTAAACTACCTTCTCCCTTCCGGGCCAAAGTACAAAGCAGAGAAATCAGGAAACATGTAACTCACTATCTGATTGTTTCATGTTTTTACTTCTTCCCATAGACCCTAGGACTGGAAAGAGGACAGGCTTTTTGTTTGTTTGTTTGTTTGAACTTTATCTGTGCCATGATTTCCTTTCTAATTCCAGGTAAGCCCTAATGGTGGACAAGCTCTCTCTCTCCTGCACTATAGGAGAATGCTGTTTATTGAGAATTCCCATAGACTGTAGAAGGAGAAAAAAGAAATGTGGAAGAACAAATCATTTTCTCAGTGCAATAGTTGGCCTGGGAAAATGACTCTTTTGCTGCATAATCTTATTTTGATTGCCTTTTCTCTCTGCCTTTCAGCTGTAACAAATCCCAATATCACTTTAGGCAGACGGATGCTGAGGTGAGCCAGGGCAAAGGTCTGGCACTTGGTAAAACACAAAAGGAAAGCTCATTGGATGTTTAAAACCACACTTCCATTACACTACAGAGTGGCTATTGTGAAGGCATTTTCACATGTTATCTTAATTAATTTTCTCTATGCTCCAATGTTTTTTGAAAATAACGAACAATAGCCCTACAAGATAGATATTATTGCTTTTCTATTAATGAGAAAATTAATCTCAGTAAAGATAAGAAAGTTATACCAAGTCATACTGTGTCAGAGCCACATTTGAATGTAAGTTTACATTTAAATCAAAGTCCGCATTAATAAAGATCGTATATGACTCAAGGCCAGGAAAAAGCGCTAATACATTTTATGTATCAAATTTATACAGTTTCCAACAGGAATATGTCCAAGATTGGAATCAAATCAAATAAAATAGAACGGACATAAATGTACAGTGAGAATTTAGTTTTAAAATTAATTTGCATATGAGAAGGATGGAGAAGGTGAGATTTGATAGCAGCTCACATGGAATGGGTGTGGGCAGTGGCGGTTAGTGAACTACAGGCTCCGTATGAACCATCAATCTGGTATGAGTGCTAAAAAGAATAAGTTGGGGGAGCAGCATTGGAGAAATAAAGATGTCATGAGAGTGTTTTCTGAGTTTGGGATTTTTTAAAAGTTATTTCAACTTTTATTGTAGATTCAGACAGTACATGTGCAGGTTTGTTACATGGGCATTTGCATTACACTGAGGTTTGGGGCACAAATGATCCTGTCACGCAGGTAGTGAGCATAGTACCCAAAAGGTAGTTTTTCAGCCCTTGCCCTGCTTCTTCTCTCCCCACTCTAGTAGTCCCCACTGTCTGTTGTTCCCATCTTTATGTCCATGTGTACCCAATGCTTAGTTCCCAGTTATAAGTGAGAATAGGCAGTATTAGGTTTCCTGTTCCTGAATTAAATTGCTTAGGATAACAGTCTCCAGCTGCATCCATGTTGCTGCAGAGGATATGATTCTATTCTTTTTTATGATGGTGTAATATTCCATGGTGTAGATGTACCACATTTTCTTCATCCAATCGACCATTGATGGGCACCTGGGTTGATTCCATGTCTTTGCTATCGTGAATAGCACTGCAGTGAACATACAAACGCATGTGTCTTCTTGGTAGAACAATGTGTTTTCCTTTGGGTATATACCTAGCAATGGAATTGTTGGTAGTTCTAAGTTCTTTGAGAAATCTCCCGACTGCTTTCCATAGCGGCTGAACTAATTTACATTCCCACCAGCAGTGTATAAGTGTTTCTTTTCTCCACAGCTTTGCCAGCATCTGTTATTTTTTTTACTTTTCTTAATAGCCATTCTGATTGATGTGAGATGGTATTTCATTGTGATTTTGATTTGCATTTCTCTGATAACGATGTGGAGCATTTTTTTCATGTGTTTATTGGCTGCTTATATGTCTTCTTTTAATAAGTGATTGTTCATGTCTTTGCCCATTTTTAATGGAGTTATTTATTTATTTGTTTATTCATTCATTCATTTATTTCTTTGCTTGTTCAATTGTTTAGGCTTTTTATAGATTCTCTGGATATTACACCTTTCTTGTATGGCTAGTTTTCGAATATCTTCTCCCATTCTATAGATTGTCTGAATACTCTGTTGCTAGTTTCTTTTTCTTGAGCCTATTTTAATGGACGAGTTTCATTTAAATAGGTCTCGCTTGTCAATTTTTGTTTTTGTTGCAATTGCCATTGAGGACTTAGTCATAAATTCTTTCCCAAGGCCAAAGTCCAAAATGGTATTTCCTAGGTTTTTTTCTGTGATTCTTATACTTTGAGGTCTTATTTTTACATCTTTAATCTATCTTAAGGTAAGGGTCCACTTTCATTCTTCTGCATATGGCTAACCAGATATCCCAGCACTCATTTATTGAGTTGGGAGTTCTTTCCCCATTGCTTATTTTTGTCAACTTTGTTGAAGATCAGGTGGTTGTAGGTGTGTGGCTTTATTTCTGAGTTCTCTATTCTGTTCCATTGGAACATTTAATTTTGGAATTTGATATTTGTCTGTTCAGTGTTTCAATTTCTTCCTAATTCAATCTTGGAAGGTTGTGTGTTTATGTGAATTTATCCATTTCCTCTAGATTTTCTAGTTCGTGTGCATAGAGGTGTTCATAAAAATTTCTGAGGATCTTCTTTCTGTGGGATTGGTTGTAAGGTCACCTTTGTAATTTCTAATTGTGTTTATAAATAACTCCATTAAAAATGGGCAAAGACATGAACAGAACCATGAAAGAACCAGAACTATGTGTCTGGTTTTGTATCAGTGACATGCTGTTTTGGTTAGTGTAGCTTTATAGTACAGTTTTAAGTCAGGTAATGTGATGCCTGTGGCTTTGTTCTTTTTGCTATTTGGGCTCTTTTTTGGTTCCATATGAATTTAGAATAGCTTTTTCTAATTCTGTGAAAAATTACATTAGAAGTGTGATAGGATTAGCGTTGAACTATAGATTCTTTTGGGCAGTATGGCCACTTTAATTATATTGATTCTTCTAATCCATGAGTATGGAATGTTTTTCAATTTATTTATGTCACCTATGATTTCTTTCAGCAGTATTGTGTAGTTTTCCTTGTAGAGATCTTTTACCTCCTTGGTTACACAGCAAGAGAAAATAGAAAAACAAGAACAAACTAACCCCAAAGCTAGCAGAAAAAAATAAATAACTAAAATTGGAACAAAAATGAATGAAATTGAGAACCAGAAATCCATACAAAGAATCAACAAAACCAAAAATTGGCTCTTTGAAAGGAAAAACAAGATTGATAGACTGCTAGATAGATTAACAAAGGAAAAAGGACAGAATATCCAAATAAGCACAATTAGAAATTACAAAGGTGACCTTACAACGAATCCCACAGAAAGAAGATTCTCAGACATTTTTATGAACTCCTCTATGCACATGAACTAGAAAGTCTAGAGGAAATGGATAAATTCATGTAAACACACAACCTTTCAAGATTGAATTAGGAAGAAATTGAAACACTGAACAGAAAAATATCAAATTCCAAAATTGAATCATTAACAAAAACCTACCAACCAATATAAGCCCCAGACCAGATGGACTTATAGCTGAACTCCAGAAGTACAAAGAAGAGCCGATACAAATTCTATTAAAACTATTCCAAAAAAGTTGAGGAGGAGGACCTCTACCCTAACTCAGTGTATGAAACCAGCATCACCCTGATACCAAAACCTGGCAAAGAATCAACGAAAACGGAAAACTGCCAGCCAATATCCCTGCTGAATATACCTGCAAAAATCCTCAACAAAACATTAGCAAGCCAAATGCAGCAGCACAACAAAAAGTTAATTCACCAGGATCAAGTAGGCTTCATTCCTGGGAGGCAAGGTTGGTTCAACATATGCAAGTCAGTAAGTGTAATTCACCACATAAACAGAATTAAAAACAAAAACCATATGATCATCTCAACAGACATGGAAAAAGTTTTAATAAAATGCAGTATCCCTTCATGATAAAAACCTTTAACAAACAAGGCACTGACGAAACAAACCTGAAAATAATGAGCCATCTAATTACAAACCACAGCCAACATCACACTGAACATGCAAAAGCTGGAAGCATTCCTTTAAGTGAAACAATACAAGGACACTTGATCTACCATTTCTATTTAACATGATGCTGGAAGTCCTAGCCAAGAGCATTCAGGCAAGAGAGGGAAATAAAAGCCACCCAAATAGGAAAGAGAAGTCAAACCATCTCTCTTCACTGATGATAGGATTCTGTACCTACAAAACACCAAAGACTCTGCCAAAAGGCTCCTAGTACTGAAATGACTTCAGTTTCAGGATACAAAATCAATGTACAAAATCAGTAGCATTTCTATACACCAATAACACTCAAACAGAATTAAACAAAAATGCAATCTCATTTACAATAGCCACACACACAAAAATACCTAGGAATACGTCTTCTGGATTTTGAAGGCCCATTTTTTCAAGGGGAATTGGAACATGATTGATGACTGCATGTTTTAGGAAGGCAAATTGTAACTCAATGTAAAGAAACACGTCACGCCAAATAGCAAATGGGTACTTGGTAAAGGTGTGAGATTCTCACACAGAAATCAGCTGGGCAGAGGCTAAAGAAACATCTGTGCTTCTGTAGAAGCACACATACACATCACTAAGGGAAATTCAACCAATTCAGTAGAAAAGCAGCATATTGACTGGAGACTTTCATGTTGGCCCTCAGACCCATTCTCCTCCTTTCTCCACCCTGTTCTGGGCCTGCAACGATCATAGCAGCAGGTTCCCTGGTCCCTGTGGCTCCTGGGGGAGTCAAACAATGGAAACACTGGCAGGAAATGAGAGGGAAGACAGAGACTGATGTCTGAGAATTATCTTTCCTATCCCCTTACACCTCTTTCCTGATGGGGCCACCCGAGGTTGACTTCATCCTCCACAGCTCCCATTACAACCTCTGATGCCCTCCGCAGGGATCAAATCAGGGCCGTTACCACTCCCTTCCTTCACACCTTCCAGCCTAAGAGTGTAACGAGAAGCAGCACTGTTATCTGCTTTGGGATCCTGCCTACAGCTTTGTAAATCACCTTTTTATTAAAATCTCCTCCAATTCCTCAGTGTGGGTGTGCCGCTTGTTTCCTTCTGGAACCCTAACTGATTCAATTCATGACTTTGCGGCCCCTCACATTAGAAGAAATGCAAACGGCATCTCAGCCATCTAGGAAGAGAAAACTCAACAGCATGATTAATCCTGAAAATGCCAAATAAAACCAAAGGGATATCATCTCACACTCGCCAGATTGGCAAAAGTTAAAAAACACTTGATAGTAACACATTTTGGCAAGAATGTAGAATAGTGGGAACTCTCACAAACCAATGGTGGGAGTGTAATTGGATACAAACACTTCAGAAAATAATTTGACATTTCCTAGAAAAGTTGAAAATGTGCATAACTTATGATCCAGCTATTTCACTGGCAGGCATAGACCAGAATGTACATCCTAGCAATGTTTATAACAGAAAAAATCCTGGAAATAAACAACCCAAATATCCTTGGAGAGAAGAATAGATAAATACATCATGGTATGCTCATAAGATGAAATACTCTCTGGAAATGAAAAATAAATAAATAAACTCACCTGTACTCCTAGCACTTTGAAAGGCTGAGGCAGAAGGATCACTTGAGGTCAGGAGTTCGAGACCAGCCTGGCCAACATTATGAAAGCCCATCTTTACTGAAAAAAAAAAAAAAAAAATTAGCTGGATGTGGTAGCACGTGGCTGTAGTCCCAGCTACCTGGGAGGCTGAGACAGGAGAATCGCTTGAACCCGAGAGGTAAAGGTTGCAGTGAGCCAAGATCGCGCCACTGTGCTCCAGCCTGAGCGAGAATTTGTCAAAAAAAAAAAAAAAAAAAGAAAGAAAAGAAAAAGAAAAAAGAAAAATAAATAAGCTAAAGCTACACACATCAACATAGTTGATGTTCTAAACATAATGGAGAAAAAGAATAGCAATTTGCAGAACATCTTCAGTATGATGCATTCATAAAATGGTCAAAGGTGTGCAAAGCAGAATGAGACTGTTTAAAGGATACATACATATGTGGTAAATCTGCAAAAACAAGCATAGGAATAACACACACAAAAAAAATTCAAGATGTCATTTACTTCTGATACTCGGGGGTTTGCGGAGGTATATCCAGGGACTCTTTGAGGATTGGTAAACTCTATCTCATAAGCTAGGAGGTATTTGAATTATTGTTTTACTTTATATTTGTGACATACATTTTAAATATTCTTTTTGCATGTATTCCAGTTTTAACAAACTATTAAAGAAGAAGTTTAAAAAGCCCATAATAAAAACTTAAGTATGATATTAACTAACAGATTATGAGAAAACTGTGACACTGTTTGTAGTAGTTTAATGCTGCTGCATGGTTAACTACCACAAGCTTAGTGGCTTAAAACATCCCACATATATTATCTCCCATTTTCTGGGCACGTCTCAGCTGGATGCCCTCCCAAAAGGCAAAAGCCTGAGAGATTTTCTCAATGTCCCCAATTTTTTCTGGGCTCTGTCTATTATTACCTGCCACTGCCTATTTTCTTTACTGTACCTATCACTGTTTGCAATTATTTGTTCACTTATTAATTATCTGTGCCTTCCCCACCTACAGACTAAAAGCTCCGTGAGGACAGGGTTAGGAAAAGGATAGTTTGCTCACCCTAGTATTCCCCAGCCTCCCCGTCAGCCAGGCAGAGGCCATGTGGACTGTGAGCAGAAGTGACTTATGTCACTTCTGGACCAAATCATTAAGAGTCAAGGTGTCTTCTTCATTCCAATTTTCCCCTGCTGCCATGACTGTTTGGAAGCTACCTTTTTCAGATGGTACAACCCCAGGAGAAGGAGGGTCTCCAACCTGCACCAGATTTCCATGAACAAGAAGTACATTTTTTGTCATGTTATGCCAGGGAGATAAAAAGCTCAGTTTGATTCCTACAGTACTCCATATCCTAGTTTGACGATTTTTGTTGTTTTCTTCATCATTTTACCTTCAATATTTAGAAGAGTGTCTAGGACATTGTAAATGCTCACTGAGAGTTGTTGAAAGAAAGGAAAGATGGGAAGAATAAAGGAAGGGTGGGAGGGAGGGAAGGAGGAGGAGAGAAAGGGAAGGAAGGAGGGAGGGTAAAAAGACAAAGAGAAAAAGAAGAAGGAAGGAAAGAAAAGGGGGGACAGAGGGAGGAAGAAAGGAATGGAGGAGAGAAAGAAATTGCTAATGAGGAAATTTAACATGAAAGGAGATACACATGCTTACATAGGGCCTTCTCCTTCCCCATGTGTACTGCGACATACTCCAATTTGTAGCCATTAGACCTGACTACTGGCTCTGCCACTTCCTAGGCGTGTGACCTTGGCCAAGTCACTCACCTCTCTCATTCTCCTCATCTGTAAAATAGGGATAACAGCACAGGAGTACTGAATTTTTCAAAAAAATGCCCTCTTCTTATTTACCCCATTATTAAATGTATCCAGCATTTTAATGTGAAGTGCTATAGCATATTATATATGTATTTTAGCATCTAGTGCTCATAATTCATTTTTAGGATCTTAAATTTTAAATTGACCTGACTCTGTAACTACTTTGCAAAGTTGTTGGGACAGTAAATGTGTAAAAATTCTCCAAATGCTTTACAAACTGTAATTTAATATACAAATAGGAAGCATCATTGCAGTTCAGCTTCCTTTGGCTTTGCTTTGAGCTAAATCTATTAAACAGAAAATTATTATACACACTAATATTGGTTAGTAAAGAGATAAAAGAATGAGAAAAAGTCATAATGGGTATATTTCTATATGGAAATATATATATATATAGTCTAATCACAACTAAATCAAGACTATGTCTTATGTGGTTATTAGTGATAAAATTTTAGGTGTTGATCATCTAAAAATGGCTATGACATGGAAGGAAAAATATTATACTTAAGAATAGCGTGTATTTTTTTTCAGGCCCTGTGTTGTCATTCCCAAGAAGGGATGGCAGAGATTGGAGCGTTGAGGTATAAGAGTATTGGCCTAAACAAAGTCATTAACAGAGCCTGAGCTGGGAGCCCAGAGGGCTGGCGCAAGTCCTACACATAACATCTGATCTCTTCTCCTATTACTAGGGAAATTAGAAGCTGAAGAAACCCAGGGACACATTCTGTAAAGATTAGAGAACACTTTTCCAGTTGAAAAAAAAAACAGAAGTTGCTCCAATAAATGTGTGGGGAACCACATCAGAGACACTGTGTTTAAGAAAGAAAGTTTAGTTCTAAAGAGTAGTGTGAACTACACTTCTGAAATTAGTCAATCAATTCATAAATACACCTTCATATCTGTCCTGTGTCCAATATGGTAGCATAATAATAGAAGGGCTGAAAACTTCCTGAATTCCCAATAACACATCTCTTTTTTTTTTTTTCCAGACAGTGTCTCACTCTGTCACCCAAGCTGATGTGCAGTGGCACTATCTCGGCTCACTGCAGCCTCAACCTACCTGGGCTTAGGAGATCCTCCTGCCTCAGCCTCCTGAGTAGCTGGGACTATAGGCATGCACCACTAAGCCTGATTAATTTGCTTATTTTTTCTATTTTTCATAGAGAGGGGGTCTTGCCATGTTGCCCAGGCTGCATCCTAAATTTTCAGGTTATCAATGTTAAGGTGAGTAATGAAATGTGTTATATATTAGGTTCACATATTTAAAAATCTTGTTTCATATGTATTTATTCAGCACTCACTGATGAATACATTAGACACAAAGTACATAAATCAACAGAAATCATAGGTTTACACATATTCTGTAAGCTTGATTGTTCATGCAGTGGAGTAACTGGTCCTGAACAGCACCTCTCAGCCATGAGGCACAAACAGTTATTTCTCACAAGACAAGACAAGCTTTCTTTTCACACCATCATCATACACAAACATATTTTGCATTTTTCAGTCAATTGGCCTCTGCTCTTCATTTTATAACTGCCTGATGGAATTCTGGTCCAGGCACTGGAGTACTTAATTTTTTTTTAAAATGCCCTCTTTTTATTTACCTCATTATTAAATGTATTCAGCATTTTAATATGAAATGCTACAGCATATTACATATGTATTTTAGTGTCTAGTGCCCATAATTCATTTTTAGGATCTTAAATTTTAAATTGACCTGACCTTGTAACTAACAACAGTAGAATCCAGTAGTTTTGGCACCTAAATTCATCCATTTTCTGGATGGAATCAAGAAGAGTAGTAAACTTAAAAACAAACAAACAAAAAACTGAATCCGCTTCAAAAGTATCACATTTAATTTATTCTATGATAAAGCAGAATCTAAATTTGTGGCTCAAACTCAACTTGAGAATTAAGCTGCACGAGCAATAAGAACTCTGTTTTGGATGCTTTGATAAAACTTCCTTTGCTGCTTACTAGTCTAAATTAATATCTAGTCTCACTTTTGAAAACGCTTTGATAGCCCTGAGTTCGGAGCTGTTGCTTCCCTGGGGGATGTAGACGTTACCTTCGCATTTCCAATATCCACAAATAGCTCTTTATCTTTTCTTGAATGAAAGGTCACATACTCTTTTGTGGCTGTCCACCAAAGTCCAGTTTTCTGCCTGTGAAAACAGCTGCAGCTTTCAGCTCATTTGCAGATAGAGATGAAAAGTCAGAGATGAGCTCATTAAGCCCTTCTAAATTTGGATGAATTCCCCCACTTCTCTGGGTTCTCTTTGATAATTCAGCTCTTAAGTGCCCCATAAGGAAGTGGCCTTCCCGAATTCTATTACTTCATTTTTACAACATCAAAAAGTTTTTTTTAATATACAAGTAGAATTTTTATCAAAGGAAAATAAGCCATCAAATTTTAAGAAAATGTTATGGAGTTCCAGTTATTATAGCAATAATTTTCAGATACAATAGCCATTATGAACAGGTTTTTTTTGGTTTCATTTACAGAGCTATCTTAGTAGTAGTAAAAATATGTTTTAAACTTTAGATTTCAGTAAATAAGTCCACATTTTGAGCTGAGATAACTTGTCCAACCAAGTCAGTGTTTAGTATGTCCTATAATTTATCATTTACTTGTCAGCTTTATTATCCCGCAGTGAATGCCTGCCTCGGGGTGGGGGCCTTTTACTGGGGTTACTGGAGTGTTGTTGGATGGGGAAGGGGAATAAGCACCTTACAATTAAACAACCATCTTCCAGCACTTTGAGGAATCTCTTTTAGATCTAAAATGACATAATGGAATGGTGGTGTTTTCTGTGAAAAGCATGGCTATCTCCAGTTTTCAAACTGGCAAATCTGAGTCTACCCAGCACAAGATGGAGGAGCTCCTTGGTAATTGCCTGGACAACGTAGGCAGCAGAGACTATCAAACCAGATTACCGTGACTTCAGATTGGAATACGATCAGGCTGTCCACATATTGGGTTTTATTTTTTTCTTTCGCTTCAGAGACAGGGCCTTGCTCCGTCGCCTAGGCTGGAGTGCAATGGCACAGTCACAGCTCACTGCTGCTTCAACCTCCTGGGCTCAAGCAACCCTCTTACCTCAGCTTCTTAAGTAACTGTGGGTATGACAGCAGGTGATCTAGGTTATTAAAGATTCCACCCCCTGACCCCCGCCACTTACAAAACAAATGAAAACATGAAACTTATAAAGGATGCTATAGACAAAAGGCAATCATGTAGAATGCTGCAAACAGAAAGGCCTGTGGTATGATGCCTTTTTAACCTTAGCTGTGGGTATGACCACAAGTGTGCGCCACCACACCTGGCCAGTTTTTGTGTTTTTTTGTGGAGAAGCGGGTCTTGCTATGTGGCAAAGGCTGGTCTGAAAATCTTCGTCTCAACAGATCCTCCCGCTTTGGCCTCCCAAAGTGCTGGAATTACAGGCATGAGCCACCACGCCCCAGCCTGTGCACACATCTGAAATTAACCAAATCGTCTGCTAGTCTCTACTTGACAGACTTCTGTATACAAAACATCCAAGACCAATTACAAATGACAACAAAGGGCAGCAACAAACGCTTAACAACTGTGACCTTAATTCTATCATCTTAAAACTGGGCTCATGCCAATCTCAAAAGATTTTTTTTTTTTTTTTGAGATGGAGTCTCACTCTGTCACCAGGCTGGAGTGCAGTGGTGCAATCTCAGCTCTCTGCAACCTCTGCCCCCCAGGTTTAAGTGATTCTCCTGCCTCAGCCTCCCGAGTAGCTGCGATTACAGGTGCATGCCACCACACCCAGCTAATTTTTACATTTTTAGTAGAGACGGGGTTTCACCATGTTGGCCAGTATGGTCTCAATCTCCTGACCTCATCATCCACCCACGTCGGCCTCCCAAAGTACTGGGATTACAGGCATGAGCCACCACGCCTGGCTTCAAAAGGTTATTAAGACAATATTTTGGTGTCGCTTTTGCTTACAATAAACATTCAATAAATATATGCTAAATAGATGACCCCAAAGTGCTAGCTTAAAGTTCATTTTTCCAGCTACCAATGAAAACCAAAGTATTTGGGCTCAGAGAAGCTGACATATTAACACTATGATATAGTCTAGTTCATTTAAATTAGATGACCCACTAAATTGTGTTGGAAAGGCCCTGGATATCAAGTCCAGGCTAAGAAATCTGGAGGTTACTGAGAAGAGAAATTTGTTATAAGGAGCTCTTCAATCAGGGTAGGCAAAAAGCAGCATTATGGTGAAGAGCAAGTTTAAAAAAAAGAACCAAGAGCAAGGCCAAGCTTCTTCCAGATAATCTGGCCTATAGTCAGATTCAAACCATAAAACATTCTCATGGTGAGTGACTTAGTTACAAACATTACAGTTCAAGGGAAAATGCAGATCCTGTGCCCGACCACAAGGCTTCTTTGTGTTTTTTTATTCTATCCTGCTGGAGAACTCTGCTATATAATTTATTCCATTCCTCCAGAGAGTTAATATGGCAGCTACCTTCTTTAGACTGCGTTAAAATTACCTTAAAGTATACTTTATCGTTATAGACCTTAGAAACTCCCATTGTTTCTAAATACTAAGTTTACTACTCATAATTTAGAACAAGGACAAAATGCTTTTTTTCATAGTTCCAGTCTGTCCTTCTGCCCTGGACTAACCAGTACCTGATTCCTGGAAAGGAAAGTCAGCCTGTTCTAGTTAATTATTTACTGTGAAGCATTTACATCACATGTCAGATAAAGGTTTATGCTGTCCACATAAATCTCTACAACATTCGGTGTCACATATCATAAAATATGAGATCAATTATTTTACACGTAGGAAGTTGTTCATTTTCCCTATTTCCTCAGTGCTTTGGGATGGCATGGGCAGTTTCTTTAACTCAAGGTTAAACGTGTTGGCATAACTTAGATAAAAATTGGTGGTGGCCTGGCACATTTCCAGCATCAGAGGTAATCATACCACAGGCCTTTCGGTTTGCAGCGTTCTACATGATTGCCTTTTGTCTACAGCATCCTTTATAAGTTTCATGTTTTCATTTGTTTTGTAAGCGGCGGGGGTCAGGGGGTGGAATCTTTAATAACCTAGATCTCCCGAGACTCCAGATGCCTTTTTAACCTTAGCCGTGGGTATGATATACCCACTTGAGCAATGAAAACCATGTAGAGTGTTGGAGACAGTGTCACCTGCAGTGACTGCAGAGAAGCATTGCAGACCCATAAACAGGCCTGACCAAACCTTTGCCTTTGCAGAGCATCTGGAGACAAGAGCACACGTAGGATAAGAGAGCTAATGAGTGTCAAAGTCAAGAGCAATAAGGTAGATAAAAACCTCATTCTCCCCACAGTGTGATCTTAGCACAATTGGGCTATATTTTACTCTCCAGAATTCAAAGTTTTATTTTAAATTCTGCACATCACAGCCATACTAAATATCCCCTTAGACAAGACACAGAGCTGCTGAGTAAGACCCCTGCAAATCAGCAATGCTTTTTCATAAGACCAGCATCCATAATTTATATCTGCATACAATTAGCCTGTTTACATTCACACATTTTTTGCTTCCTTTTATGTGAAATATTCCACAGGATAGTTGGTAATGCATTCAGAATAACCTTTTTAAAATAAAGACTCCAGGACCAAACAGTTTATAAAATCCAATACCTAATAAATACTTTATACGAATAAAAAGTGTTTTCTTAATCAGAAACAGTATATTTTATTTGAGCTAGTTTTTCTTGCCTCCCAGGCCAATGGCCTGGCATCATATGGATCTTTACTTTTTAAATGTATGCAGAAAAAAAATGCTACTGTATTCCTTGGTGGTTGCTTGCACACAAATATCACAACCTTTTTTTTTTTTTTTTTTTTTTGAGATGGAGTCTCACTCTGTGGCCCAGGCTGGAGTGCAATGTCATGATCTAGGCTTACTGCAACCTCCATCTCCTGGGTTCAAGTGATTCTCCTGCCTGAGTCTTCCAAGTAGCTGGGATTACAGGTGTTCGCCACCACACCCAGCTTATTTTTACATTTTTAGTAGAGATGGGGTTTCACCATGTTGACCAGGCTGGTGTTGAACTCCTGACCTCAAGTGATCCACCTGCCTCAGCCTCTCAAAGTGCTGGGATTACAGGCATGAGCCACCACACCAGGCCACAACCTTTCTTTTGTCCAACAGGATAAGTTTTATGACCATGCTAAGTTGGCCTTGGAAAAGCCAACCCCTTGTACTAATATGATACAGAGAGACCAAAAAATCAGTCAGTAGTACAGAAATTTAGTATTCATGCTACCAAGATTCTGAATTCCCTAAATATATTTAGCCTGGTAAATGGATTTCACTGTTGGGAATGCAGGCAGCAGAGAGGGAACTTCACAAATTCAATAAGTTAGGCATTTGCCTGCAGTGGTCTGGATGGCTAGAGGTTCAGCCAGGTTGGTGTCAGGGGCTGGGCCAATAAGCAAGCCCTCCCTGCTGTCACTTCCAGGATCCCCCTGTTCTCCTCTTTCCACCAGCCAACTAGAGCAGCATGGACCTGAGCCATCTGAAGCAGGAACCAGGATTTACAGCAGCTTCCATGCCTTTCTAGGGTGAAGTGAGACCCTAGCTTGCCCCAGAGTTGAGCTTGGCCATGTCAAATCCTCCCTGAGCCTTGTGATCCTGGAAAACAGTGACTGTTCAGGGAATCCTGCACCCTATTGTGTTTTGGAAAAGGGCTTACTGCAAATAACCACTCTACCTGTAGGACTCAGACTTACAGACACCTGCCCCCTGGTTTACCTAGGACAAGTTAAGACAAGGGAGACACAGACTCCCCAAATTCCCTTTCTTGACTCATAAATGAGGAGCTGAACTGCTTTTCTCTGCTGATCAATTGACATACATCTTGGTCAAGCTTCTCTTCTTCCCCCAGGTCCTTAAACTTTGGCCCTCCCTCAGCGTTAGCCAGCATGCAGCCTCTCCTGAGAACACACTGGCCTCAAAGTCAAACATTCTCTGATCTGCGATCTGACCCAGACCCGTTCATTCCACCACCTCACATCCAGTTCTTTCCAGCTTTGTCTACTTCTCTCTGTAAATGAAAACTCCTTTTTGCAGACTTAATTGTCCCAGCATTCACTCTAGGGCAATACCCGTCGCCCCGCCCTGCTTAGTGCAATCGTCTCTCTCCCCTCATTCCTTTTACAAAAGTCCTTTTGAATGAAAAGAATCCTTTTGGATTTTGAATAAAATCCTAAGTCTAGATTTATTTTTTCCTTGACAAGCTCCTACCTGAACACTAAGCCTGTGTGTGTGTGCGTGTGTGTATGTATGTGTGTGTGTTTGCTTGCGCCCATGCGTGCATATCGTGGGGGGGAACCTGAAAAGATATATAGTATTTGCGAGAAGTGTAACACTGGGCTGCAAATTCACACATTTGCACATTTCTCTTATTATTAACAATGATACTTAGACCTTTGATTTACTAATGGATGAGAATTGTTGGAACAAAGACTTGGTGCTGATTTCCTGATGGATTAACTTTATCAGTCTGCCTCTCTCAAGCCTCACATCTATATTACTCAGGAACCCTCATGTACAGATACACCCCTCCTGGTCCCTGAGTTATTCTAGAATAGAGTGGAAAGCAGATTAAACCCTCAACTCTTCCACATGGAGTTTGAAATTAGCCTCGCCATTTGGAATTTGGCTCAACATCATAGAGCTGGTGTAGGACAGATCTTAAATATCCCCTTGGGCATATTTGCTCCCAAACTATGGCCTTCCTCAGATCATGTCATATTAATACAGGTCCAAATAGAGGCTCTAGGATTGATATTTCATCACAAGGCCAGCCTTTCTCTTGCAACATCCCACCTAGGCCTGAATCCAGAGATCACATCACCATCCCATGCTTAATTTTGAGCATCCCAGGCTGCTTCCATTCTTGCTGTAACCCCTATTCCTGCCCAAATTAAGCCTGAGCTCTCCAAGTGCCTTTGGACAAACGCATTGGCCTCCAATTGCTGGCCCCAGAACTTGGTAAGTTTCCCCAGACCCTTGTCCCTTCCTGGTTCTGGATTCCTCAGCCACAGAATGTTATAAGAACTTCCAGAATAACGTACAGACTAAACACTGCTTACCAAAATTACCGTACATCAGGAATATTCAGCCAAAAACAACTGTAACATTTCCAAGTCATTCCACATCTAAATAGAAATAAAATCTTGTAGAGATATTGCCCAAAAGCCTCAGTTCATTGTAGCTATTAACAAGAAGAGGAAAAAAATGGCTCTTGAATAAAAGAATCACTAGAGTACTTAAGTGAGTTTTGAGAACTTGCTATCAGGAAAATATACATGTATAGAAATTAGTCATTGGAAGTCTTAACTAGTAACATCTCCTAGTACTGTATCTTCATTAATTAACTCATTTATTCAGCCATTCATTTAGGTATTCATTCAAATAATTACTACTAAGGTCTCTATACATGCCAGGCACTGCATTAATATCAGGAACTCAACAGTGAACAGAATAGACCGAACACCTGCCCTCACAGAGGTTGAGCAAGGGAGCATATAAAGTGGGTTTTAAATATAAATCAACTTACAGAAATTTGATATGCATATAGATTATAGGGTAAGTTGTACTTGTCCATGCAATGAATTATAGTTACCAACGTAATGAGCTAGAAAATACAATTAGTCAGCAGGCTTCCAGTTTGAGATCTTGAGACTTTTTCTTCCTTGTCACTAAAATCCACACATCTATGAGCTTTCTTTCTTAATCTAAAATCTGGAGCTCTCTTCTCTTTGATTTCAGGAAAGAGGAATCAATGCCAAGACTCAATATTAGAAAAACGAATGGGCATGCACGACACATCAGTGAAGGAACGTAAGTGTTTTTTCTTTGACACTGTTGGTTTCAGCGTACAATACAAGTCAGTAGGAAGGTACTTCAAAGTCCTTGACATGTATTGGAGAGTTTTCTTTCTGGATGTTGGAAAACTCATTTTGAGGATGTCAATGGGTTATAAAATTCTGCATAAATAAATACAGTTACCATTGATTATATTTTCCACTGGGAAGAGTGAATTACAAGGAGATGGCTACATTTATTTTTCAGAATGAAAAATGAGCGCATAAAGGAATCAAAGAGTCTGCTGCACCACCCTGAAGACCTGGGCTACTTTCATCATTGTCATGTTTGCTGTTTGTTTGTTTGTTTGTTTATACTTACCCTGCCTATTCCAGTAAGATTTAAGGCAGCTGTCTCTCATTTTCTTAGCCTCCAATATACACGCACTTTATTTATTTTGTGATCAGTGATTTAAATTATTATATTCCAGACCATAGCATATGATTGTGAAGCCATTTTTAGTCTTGCTTTTTAAATTCATCGGAACTGAGATTGTGTGTTTCTGTGTGTGTGTGTGTGTGTGAGAGAGAGAGAGATTCTTTATTTACAGGCACAACTACACAAGTAAACCCACTCTGCAAGAGCAGAAATGAAAATCTGCAGAGATTAGGAGATTAGAGAATCCAAAAACAGAGATAAGAGGCAGGATTTCAAGAGAAAACCAGAAGTAAATTTTACGTAAAATTCCAAAATATTGCTTCAAATCTGAACTGACTCAAATATACCAGATAAATATGGATGCATCCTGATACTGTCAGGATGTCAACAGCTCCCAAATTCCCATGACAAAGATTTCATAGACTGTTGGTATGAGGGCATTGGAATTAAATCCAGTAGTTCTTGACTGTGAGTTTATAGATATTTTTGAAACTTTAATGCAATTTTTAATTGCAAATATAAAAAAAACCTCTACACACTACTTTAGGAGACCCCTCAAATCCTTTCATGGACCACAGATTCAGAGAAGATGACCTTGTGCCCTTAACCCACAAGGAAACTAAGATGCATAGTATAAAACTGATATGACCGGTGTCACCCAGCCATGATTCCATTACTTGAAGATGCTTCTGAAATTTGCCCTACTTTTCCTCTTGGAAGGGAATAAAGTTCCACTTTTTTCAATGGAAGAATAAGAATTTCAAAGGTATTACAAAGCAGAAAATATAAAGTCTCCATATAGATAGATAATAATAGATGATAAATAGATGCGTAGACAATAGATTAGACAGAGATAGATAGATAGATGACAGATAATAGATACATAAATACATAGAGATTCTCCTTTTTCTGTAAGTGTTAATTCACCCTGCTCATTTCCTTCATATCTAATATCTTTATATCTAATAATGATATAAAGTAATTTTGCACACAATTTGTTTTCTGTTTATTGTCTGTTCTTCTCCACCAAAATGCAGCCTTCTTGTGAACGGAGACTTTTTCTGTCTTATTTACTGTCATGCCTAAAAAAGAGCCTAGAATAAACATTTTAATACATGTTTATGGATTTAACCAGTAAGTCTATCTGAAGGAGTGACATTGACTGTCTCTGAAGAAATGGGTGGTAAATGACATCCTATTTGGTGTTTGCTTATTGAAAAAAATTATTTGTATTTGTGTTTTCTGATTTGTTTAGTAATGAACATGTGTTTCTTTTAAAAATAAGAATAGGCCATGCATGGTGGCTCACACCTGTAATCTCAGCACTTTGGGAGGCTGAGGCAGGCAGATCACCTGAGGTCAGGAGTTGGAGACCAGCCTGGCCAACATGGTGAAACCCCATTTCTACTAAAAATACACAAAAATAATAATAATAATTAGCTGGGCATGGTGGCGGGTGCCTGTAATCCCAGCTATTCAGGAGGCTGAGGCAGGAAAATTGCTTGAACCCAGGAAGTTGCAGTCAGCCAAGATCCTACCACTGCACTCCAGCCCAGGCAACTAGAGCAAGACTCCGTCAAAAAAAAAAAAAAAAAGAATAAAGGGTTATATTTAAGTAAAAAATTCAGGTAACTTAGAATTCCAGAAATCATTCATCCTTAATTTCCCCTTCTTGGCACAACTGAAGGAACAGTCAACTAGTGACACTCCCCACACTGGGGTGGAAGAAATCAACCAACAAACAAAACAAGCAAAAGCCTCCAGCCATCCATTAAGTTTAAAAGTCACGGGCTGTTTTTTCAGTGTCCTTTTTCTCTCACTGGTCTTCAGTGGATGGATCGTGGAACAAACACAGGAAAGGGTGGAGTAATCACTGACAGAGCCGGAGAATCAGCCAACGGAGTGACAAATTTCATCCTTTTAGTCCTACTTTCGTAACACAAATCTATACACAGCACTATTAAAGAAAGTTTTTTTTATTATAACTTTAGGGAAAAAGACTCATAAGAACATAGGCAAAAATGTTCATGGCTGTTAAGAAGTACAGATGACGTCTCCCCTTCTCCCCCTCCCAATATTTTTCAGTATTTTTTAGGTTTTCTATTGTACAAAATGTTACTTTTTTCATAGAAAAAAATGTAAAAATTAAAAAATTAAATGTTATAGTTATAAAATGAAATGCCAATTCAAAATTCTAGAAAAAAATTTTTAAAAAAGAGAAATATTAAAAAGTAATCAAAATATCGCAATTCACGTTTTAATAGGAAATGCTAAGTAGGGAGATCAATTGTTTAACAGAGGAGAAAGATGAAATAGAAAATGTGACCTAAAATGTTAATTGAAACCCAGCAAATGGACTCACATGTCTAACAGAGATATGATGGTAGAGGACTTTCAGATGTTCAAAGAGCCTTAAGAAAAATTTCTGAAAATCCTGATGCCTTTCTGGCTGTGTGGAATACATTTTATATCTATTTTGGAGACCTCTGGGGTTTAAATGCTTGTTGCTAGAGCTGGGGAAATTGAAAAAGATTTGTTTCTACCTGATGTTACAAAAGAGTAAGATCTACAGTATGATAAATTATCAAAACCTAAGGCTGTTCAAATTGAGGGGCTGTCTTCTTCATAGAGTTTCAAATTAGCTAGATCAGGAAATGCATTGGTCTTGGAGACAAAATACATTGTTGTAATACATATATGTCCATTATTTATTTCTAGATCTTGCTGAGTAAAGCAAAGATAGTTACTTATAGGCCTTGGAAAGAGAGAAGAAGCCACTGCAATTAACTAATCTAACCATGTAAAATATTAGGATTTCACATTGTCTTAAAATTACTTTCTCCCTGTCTTAGTTCATTTCATGCTGCTACAACCAAACAGTAATTTATGAGGATCAGAAATCTATTGGCTCACAGTTCTGGAGGCTGGAAAGTCCAAGATTAAGAGGTTGGCACCTGGTATGGGCCTTCTTGCTGTGTCGTTCCCTGATGGAAGGGTAAAAAGAGATGGTGAGAGAGAGCAAGAGCTCAAACTCACGGCCTCAAGCTCTTCCATAATGGACACTAATCCATTGATGAGGGCTCCACTCTCATGACCTAAACACTTCCCAGTAGGCCCTACCTCCCAAAACTGTTGCATTGAGGATTAAGTTGTCAATACATGCTTTTGTAGGGACACATTCAAACCATGGCATATTTCTAGGATGCCATGAGAATTATGGGATGATATGTTCTATCAGCTATGAGTATGCAGTGAGGTCTAACTAGGTTCTTATTTTTGCCCTTGCAAATTAGAATGAATGGTACCTGGACAACAATCCTCATCATAGCAGCTCTGACCAGGGAAAAGAAGCACCACTTTCCCCCATGAAGTAGGAGATTCCAGACCAAATTGCTCCCCTAGAGCTGTCTCTGTGGAGCCCAGCTGGTCATTTTGATGAAGGCAAAGAGCCTTTCATCCCCTTTTTGATATATCCTTCCTTGTGTAGGAAAAGCCA
This sequence comes from Homo sapiens, assembly GCF_000001405.40. Lineage (NCBI taxonomy): Eukaryota > Metazoa > Chordata > Mammalia > Primates > Hominidae > Homo > Homo sapiens. Next base: position 155,686,210 of record NC_000006.12, on the reverse strand, counting down.
CTTGCTTAATGCTCCTGGCCAACCCATAACCTCCTCCTCAACCCATCTTCAAGGGAAGGAGCAGAGGAGGAGCAATAAGCTGGAAGGATTTAGGGCAATTTGCTCCCCGTGAAAACCAAGGGAATGGGGAAGGAGGTCCTCCAAACACTTAACAATAACATTTCTCTCCATATTCGTAGATTATGGACTTTAACCAAAAAACAATCATTAATAAAACTCATTTTGTACACATTGAAAATAATTGATTATTGAAACAGATCATGCAGTGATCATGGCTACTATTTTCTCCAACCTAGTGTATATTATATTTTATGCATAATCACAGTTGATTTGCCTGGCCTACCAAAGCCGTGTATCAGATTCTTTTTATTACCACCATCTCTAACTCTTCATTTTATTATAGACTATGTTTTAATGGCCAGGTTCTGAAAGAAAATAGCCTTTTGTGAATATTTGAGATTATACGGATCTGTTAGTGCCTGTTCTATAAATTAATAACTGTTATGCCCAAAGCAGCCTATATTTTTCTCAACAAGACATTGTTTCTCCCACATAGGGATCAAGCCACAAATGATCAAAGCCATTTTGAAAAAGTAGATATAGATACAGTTTATATTTTCACATATTTAAAAATGAAACAGATACTTTGATATTTAGAAAGAAAATGGTAGCTATTGCAAGATGTTTAACATTATGGCCATTGTCTTTCTTTATATACCCTCCAATATAGCATATTGATTTGAAAATAATGTGTTTAATAAGTATCAATCAAATTTGTTTGTAGAAATATTAAGACAATTCAATGCAAGATGTTTTATAAAAATGCCATTTAGACATAGTAATGTGGAGCTGTGGCACAATATATTCTTTTAAATCACATTTACTGCGGTCTTCCTTTTCTAATAAAAAAGTAACAAATGCTTAATTTATAAAAGTAGGAAACCAGTGTTAAAGTGTAATTTTCAGAAAATGTAGAATCATAACTGTCATATAGGTATAAAAGGAACACTTGTCAAATATTTTATTTAGCCTATTTATTACACGTGGGAACCAGAAAAGATGTTTTAACTAGTTCAAAGGACAAGTCAAAGAAGCACAAATTTATGTGAAGTAAAAGAATATTCAAATGAATTTACAAATGGACATGAACCTGATTTTTCCCACAGAAAGGAGGGCTGACAATTCCACTGAACAGAATAAATTTGCATTTCCAAAGACAAAAAAAAATTTACATTGCTCTCAGCTGTCTACAATTTACAGAACTGTAAAGTAACTCAAAGGCAAGGGAAGGCTAAAATCAGATAACTCAGAAAGGTACGCTCAAAACAATGCAGTTTTCCACTGAAGATACTCAGAAATATTTGTTGCTTATTTCAAATTGTCTTACAAGAAAGAAGAGTAGAAAGAACGAATGAAATAAAGAGAGAAAGGGAAGGGAAGAGGAGAGAAAGAGACATAAAGAAATTTTTAAAAAGAAAGAACGAGCTTGCCTGAAATCCACTACACAGATTAAACCACAGATAACATTTTAGTGTGTTTTTTTCCAGAAATAGATCTCAATAGAGTTGAACAGCATCACACCGAGCATACTATTCCACAGACTCCCTTTTTTACTTAAAAACTCTCTGTGAGAACAGTGAACATTTTCTCATGTCATACATTCTTGTACAACATTTTTTTACATAATGTATGTGTGCCACAATTTACTTAACTAATCCACTATTACTGAATATTTTAAAAAGCTTTCTTTCTATAGATAACTGCATAAGTAAAATCTCAGAACAAATATCTTTATACATATGTTTAATATTTTCCTTAGTAATTCCTAGGAAATGCTAGATACATTTTACTGTATTTTGACAGATGTTGCTAAATTGCTCTAGAGACATGCTGTACCAATTCTAAAATCCTGCCAGCTGTGTAAAATTATGCCCATTTCTCCACACCCTTGCCAACACAGAGCATTATCATACTTCTTAAGCTTTGCCAATTTGATGGGTTAAAACTGGTGTTTCTTTGTTGTTTTAAATCTATCTTGTTCAAATTATTGAGGTTAAATTTTTGTGTTAGCTAAAATAAACATTTTTTGAAACTTCATAGGAATATGGATGGAAGGGATAAAAGAAAATTATTTCTTTCCTCTCTTTGTTCCCAGTTTGCAGTAGCCAAAGACCATTGACAACTAAAGCAAACAGATATTCTCATTTCAAAAAGACTGGACCAGGCTAAAATAGGACACTGAAATCCCATAGAAATTTGTCTTCTAGAAACTTGAAGGAAAAACAGAAATCAAGCAAATTGAATGTATCCATGAAAAGAATTTCTAAATTGTGGAACTGAAAAGTAGCATCAGCATTTTATTGGGGAGAAATTTGCTTAATAATGAAGCTTTAGCTCTTCTGATTGAATTCTGATTTAGTGAGATAAAAAGCATCTGTGTACTGAATTATACATAAAGGGAACAGTTTGTAGATTATTCTTGCCTGTGTCTACTTGTGTGTACTGTATAATTTAGGCCTTAATATATTTGGAGCCCCTTTTCTTTTATTGTTCAGAGGCTGAGTGTTTACCTTTCGCCCGGTAGCTTTTGGTTGATTTTATTTACATGCGTCAACTAGAATGCAGAGGCTCCAGCTTTGTATCTATAAAAAAGACACAGACGTATTTTTCAGATTTGTCCTTGAAATCCTGAAAAATTTCCACCAAGATGAAGGAGAATGATATGAAAATACATTATTTTATTGTAAAGGGGTCAAGAAAATCTCTAGACCAGATCCAAAAGGAACATTGGCTTGGGTTGAACTGACTTTATTTTCATTACTTCTCCTACCTCTTATATTTTCCTTCCATTTGGCTAAGCAAGGGGTCACGATGAGGGGAAAAACTGTGGGGAGCCTCAGGTCCCTGGGTGACTGACCGCAGGTGAGGTTACAGGTCTGGATGTGCAGGGAAAGACCGTGTTCGCTCAGGGCTCATACTGACACCCAGAATCATTCGACTGATATTTATCGGTGATGTTGCACAACTCATTTTACTAAACAGCGCCAACCTTGTCTTCTCTGTAAAATGGAGGTCCTTCCAGTTCCAGACTGCTGTGATAATGGAAAGCCAAGTCTTTAGTAAATTGTACACTAATAGAAATCTAAATTATTATGAGAAATCTGCTTGGCATCTCTAAATGAGTCAGGAATGGAGTGAGTCCTCATTTAATTTGCTGAAGACACTGTAATTTCTCTATTAAAATAAAAGAAAATGCAGGCTTACATGTGTCCTTAATTTGAGAGGAAAAAGGCTCATATTTAAGAATTGATCAAAATGTGGGTTCTTAAACTACATAAAATGAAAATTATATGTTTGTTTCAAAGGGCAATATTAAAGTCTTATGCTGAAAATGAATTCCTAAGAAAAAGAAAAAAAATATGGCAATAGGCTCTTAGTTGGAGGAGGCTGAAATATCTCACACTATACTATTATCATTAATTTTATGTTAATAGGGTTTGTTAACTTAAGTTTCTACTATTACATGTGCTTTGTGGATTTTTTAGTTGAAGGATTAGCTCTGGCCTATGGCCCCTAATTGGATATTGTCTAATTATTAATATTCATTTTTCCAGAGGGATTTGTTTCACAGAATTAAAAAATTTGATGAGTCAATGGAGTTACTATTCCCCTCTGACTTATGAGCCTGAAAGAATATGTAATTCAAACATGACCCTCATAAACAACCCCAATATCATTATTATAAAGCAGAGCTCAAAGTTCTGCTTCCAGTTCTTGCTTTTCAGAATATTGAGTAAAATAGGAATTACTGACTCAGTAAATCCCACGAATTCTTTTGGTAAATTTGTGGCTTACTGTGGATTCAACTGTCTATCAATAGATCTATGTTAAAGCTTTTCTGTGTTAAAATTTGAGTAGGAAAGGAAGGAGCTATGTTTCCATCTCTTGATGGAGGAGACAATTCTACTGAAGAAAAATTATCCCTTTATCACCAAAATACAAATGGCCTATCCTCAGCATTTGAAGACAAAACAATCCCTCAAAAAACAACAGCTCTGTGGAAATTCACAGCCTTCTTTCAGAACTGATGATAAAAGAAGAAGAAAGAAAACATTTGGTAGTCTGGGAAGAAACGTTCATAAATGCAGTGAGGAAAATCCACCAGGAGAAAATCAAAATAGTCAAGATGAATGATGGACAAAATATTAGTGAGAATTTTAGCTGGGAAAGGCAAATGTACATGTCTGCATACAACGATATATCTCATTGTCCATGATCAAACATAGTGATAGGAGAAGAAAGAAAGATGTCTCTCATGATAGAAATACCGTGCTTGGTTTTTATTTTCACATGATCTAAGTAAAGGTCTGTGAATTTCTTAGATCAGTCACTTAGAGGAAGAGGGAGCTCGCTTCATAAATTCTATCCGGTAAGATGAAAAGATGACAGGTCTTTACAGCTTTTTCACGATGGGTTTTAAAATGATTTTTTAAAATGGCTTTTCAAAAGCTAGAAGCGATCTAATAATGATGGAAAAAGTCAATTTACATGCTATGCATAGAGAAAATATCAATGAGGCTTTCTATTAATATACAAGTTAAAAATTAACGTTTTCTCCTAATTACTTTAATTTCTGTACATCTTCATTTCTCTGTTGGAAGCCTTATAGAGGTCAAGTTCAAATATATCTGTATTCATTCCTCCAATGTGTACCAAGAACTACCTGTTTTCTGTGAAGGACCAAGAACCAGTGACAACAAGCCTGGGATTCAGAGTCTGGGATCACGACTATTACATAACAAAGGGACTTGAGCTTCCCCCAAAGGTCTTGGAGAGTTGTGAGAAGGCTTTCAAGAATACGTCTGTAAACTGTATAGTAACCCATCTCCAGATTTATGTATTTTAGGAGGCTGTAATATGTACCGTGCAATCCCATACATGCACTTGTATGTGTGTCTGTTCACTCAAATTATTGTCCTAGCTTCTTGTTTTGGAATCTGGACCCTTTAGGGATTCAGAACAATGGAAGTCTAGAAAATGAATCATCACCCTAGTTAGAAATTTTACCACTGCAAATCTGAATTTGAATTTTATATCGATGGAGCCAAATATTCTTTTTTTGCAGTTAGAGGAAACTGTCCTCTCTCTGCCTTTGGTGGCACCCGGTCCAGGATCCCAGAATTGCCTGCTGTCACGAATTCATTCTTATTTCATGTTTTACCTGATACATGTCTACTCCTCTGAGGAATGGAGCAGCTCAGAAATTCACTGCTTGATGCCTACTGTGTACTGAATAAATGGAGACATTCTGCTCCTGGTATTTGACAAATAGACCAGGACCAGGAGAGAGAAGTGTGTTTCCTGCACGCATGTTGAGGCCATCTATAAATAGATTTACATCAACCCAAGGTTCAGACTCTCAGAAAACGGGTTTTTCTATTGCATGGCTCCATTTGGCCTGACAGTAGGTATGAACCAGCTGATGCTAAGAGATGTAATTCAACAGATTATGAAGGTTGAAGTCACTAAAAATGGAACTTCCTGTTCTTAGCTGGGTGAAGGCCACTATCAACTAACTGTGGCAAATTAGGACCCATTAATCTCATGGTAACATTTCATTGTTCTCATTTACACTGACCCCACTCATGTCATGTAGTGAGTATCCTTTCATGATAAGGGTATACTCCATGACTATCATTTCAAAAATGACAAACCAAACTTCAGCATTCTAGTATTTTCTTTTTAATATTTTTAAAAATGCTTATGAATCCAAAACAAAATAAAAACTAAAAAAAATCCCCAAAAATGCACATGAATCTCATATTAGATAGAAATATATTAGAATAATATAATAATATTAGAAGAAAATATGTGTATTGTCTCTGGTTACTTGTTTAGAAATTGCAGATAGCAATTTGCAATTTTAAACACAAATATTAACTAATAAAAGTATTCCTGTTCATACTCTAAAATTGTAGATAACACATTATATTTCATTCTATAGAAAACCAAATGGTCATCATGCTTGTAACTAGTGCTTTTGGTTAATGTGGTACTAGAATGCCAATAAACTAATTTGTTTGCAAATATCTTGAGATATGCAAGCCAAATATTTCAAAAATCATTTTTTTGAAGAATTTTTTTTTAAATATTTCGCCCAGATTCAGAGAAATTTGAATTTTAACCTTGGATTAATTTGTATATAAGTACTCAACAGGCTGGTCTACAGGGTAACATTTTTAATCCATGGTTGTGTTCCCAAGCTTCTCCTTCATCACCAGTTACTGTTATTTGTGATGAGATTATGTACATATTTACAATAGGAAAACAAAATTGTTCCAGAACCACTTAATCCATCCTCTGGCAGGTCTCTTTAGCTGCACCCTTTGTCCCCTAGCAGACATCCAATGTCCTCTCACGGCATGGTTAAAAGGGTCCTGCACTTCTACCTCCTGCCTTCATCCTGCAAGGCCAGGTAGCAAAGAGATCCAGAGTAACATCTCTGGAGGCAATCTGTAATTTCCCCACTGGTAAAATGGGGGTAATAGTAGAACCTATCTCAAAGAGTTGTTTGGAAAATCAAATGAATTAACATAATCAGAAGCTTTGAGTAGTGTCTGAAAAATAGAAAATACTTTGTAATTGTTTCCTAGTGGCAGAGGACCTAAAATTCAGATTGTGTTTGCTAAGAAGGTTCAAGTGTCATGGTTAAGAACAACAACTCTGGAGCTAGACAGTGTTGATTCAAATTCCCCACTTCCTTCCTTATGAGCTGTGTGATCTTAGGGAAGTTACTTAACCTCTCTTAATCCCAGTTTCCCCTTGTATAAAATGAACCTAAATATAATACCTACTTTAAAGAGTTGTTATGAGGGATTTACTCAGTTATTACATTATCACATTATGACAATGCCCATAATGTATAATTACAATGCTCATAACATATAATAAATATTAAGTAAATGTTACCTGTTTTCACTATATAGTACTATCATTAGTACTGTCATTATGAACAATTCATAATCCTTCAGCTCTCACCCAAATTCATCTTTTCTAGGGGCAGCCGCAGCTGACCAGATCAACTCTTCTATCTGCTCCCTCTTTCTATCGTGCTTGTAATTTTCTGTCTATGATATTTTATAAATGTCTCTCTCATGAAGCTCCATGAAGGCAGGCAGCTGGATCTGGTCTATGCTCACCATTTTTCCCCCAAGCTTTTAGGGTATGGTACATGGTGGGCACACAATAAGTCTTTGTCGAATGAATGAATAATGAATATATGGTATTAAAGGCTCTGATTTCAGTGATTAGTCTTGCTAACTTGAATATAGATTCTGTAAGATAAATGTGGTGGTGCCAGACAGGGCATTGAGTTTATGAAGTTAGAATTTGCCCTGACTCCAATCCAGCAACCATTCCTGCCCCTGCTCCACGCCCCATACCCCTCCACAAGGTTGAATCTTTTCCCTCGTGCCACAGATTCAGTCCCCTCCAGAGTTTCTCTCATTTCTCACTCACACAGCTGCGTGATCACTCATGATACCAGCATGTTGCTGTGTTTTAGGATTTCACTGCAGCCAGCAGATGAAGACCAGCAGGTTAGAAAATCCAGCTTAACTGAAATGTGAACCTTGCCAGATTCAAGTAACAGAGCTCGACAAAAATGCTAACCCCTCTCTACCCAGTAAAATAAACCAAGGTTAAATTATTAAGCTAAAAGATATTTTCACAAAACCACAATAGAGAGGAAGGAGAAGAAAATACTTATTGAAAGACTGTTCAGCAGAAAAGCAAGGAGAAGAGGAGTCTCATTTTCATGAGCATCCAAAGTGCAGTAGGCATAAAATCATACAGTTAAATTACGGAATACCAACACTTTAAACCATGCATACATACCTACAAACAAGATGTTTAAAAAAAATAAATGTAACCTTATTTCAAATCGTCAGTGCTTCCCTCTAGAATAAATTTAACAATTTAGTCCTTACAACCTTGGCATAGTTTCTACAAAAGTATAAGCAATTTTAGTCTCAATTGTCAGATACTAAATATACAAACTATATTTAAAATGTCTGTATTTTAAACATTAAAGTGCTTCTTACACTCACAAATCAAATAAATGTGAAATTATACCTCAAAACAGGCTATTGTGAACCCACTAGTCATGCTTGTGTTAGATTGGCCAGATTTAACATTTCTGATTTAACTATCTCACAAAACTAAGTTTTAAAAAATATTCAGAAAGCTTGAAATTATCTGCAACAACCTGGCCAACTGACACACAAACTAGCTTTTGCCTAATTCTTCCAAGTTATTGTTACAGAATTTTTTGCTTTTGTTTTATTGGCACACATTTTTATTCTTGCTTCACTCTAACATCCAATTTCTTGTGATCTTTCATTGCTCTAAGCTATTGGTAATAATCTATAACATATCAGGATAAGTAACTGATTATAAGAATTGAATGCTTAATAGCAGTTAAATATAGAGTTCAAACCGATTGCAACTTTTCCTCTTAACAATAATTAATTGAAATAGTTTAAACAGACATTGACATAGAAGAGGAAATGAATTTTGGAGTATGTATTAAAAACATAGATTATCGACTCAGCAGACCATAATGAGCCTTTCATTATCTTCAGGGGCTATTGTATGAAAACACATTTGGAGAGTTTTTTAAATGAATATTATTGACCTGATGGACCACAATAGTTCCAAAGAGGGCATTAGTATCCATCTTCAAGCAAGTATTTATATTGTTTAAAACCATTATTGGCATTTGTGCATAAAATCTCTTTCAACTTTAGTGCAGAGGTTGCAAAAGAAAGTAGTCCAGTTACATGTATTTAGAAACAAAGTTAAACTTACTCGTCGTTATCTTTTCAAAGCAATTAAACTATATACTATAATAGATTTATTTCTCATTAGATTGTATTGAACAGATTGGTTGCTTTTATTTCAACATGCTTTTAATGTAATCAAATGCCAAAAATAATGTAAAGTAGTCTTTTTGGTAAGAAAATTAAATTGATCTTCACATTAACTTGTTGAGTGTTTAGGTTTGGTCTTTGCGGTAACAAATTATTTCTGCCATCAATGACTCATAGTGAGAAGAGATCTAAAGTTATCTTTAATATCAGCCCTGACCATTGCTATGTGGATGAATTCATTCTTATTTCATGTTTTACCTGATATGTGTCTACTCATCTGAGGAACAGAGCAGCTCAGAAATTCACTGCTTGATGCCTACTGTGTATTGCATAAATGGAGACAGTCTGCTCCTGGTATTTGACAAATCTGCATTGCTGGTGGCTCGAAAAATAGATTTCTGAAAGGAACATAATACCCATTATAATTCCA